>NC_000001.11:49856865-50008380 GCF_000001405.40 Homo sapiens
TGTTCTAGCCAGAGCAATTAGGCAAGAGGGGAAAAGAGAAATCCAAATGGGAAAAAAGGAAGCCAAATTATCCTTGTTCATAGATGACATGATCTTTTATTTAGAAAAACCTAAAGCTTCTGCCAAAAAAAAAAAACTGTTGAAACTGATAAATTATTAAGTAAAGTTTCAAGATACAAATTCAACCTATGTAAATCATAACTATTTCTATACATGAATAGTGAACAACCTGAAAAAAAATCAAGAAGTCAATCCCACTTACAATAGCTACAAAAAATTGAAATGCCTAGAAATAAATTTAACCAACGGGCTGAAAGACTGCAATGAAAATTCCAAAACACTGATGAATATAAAAATAAAACACGAACAAATAAAACAACCTCCCATGCTCATGGATTAGAAGAATAGCATTGTTAAAATGACCATACCACCCAAAGCAATCTACAGAGCCAATGTAATCCCTTTCAAAATACAATGACTTTCTTCACAGAAATAGAGAAAATAATCAATCCTAAAATTGACATGGAAACACAAATACCCCAAATAGCCAACAACATTGAGCAAACAGAACAAACATGGAGTCATCACACTACCATACTTCATATGCCAAAACAAAAAGCCATAATAGTCAAAATAACACAGTGTTAGTAAATAAACAGATACATAGACCCATGGAAGAGAATAAAAAACCAAAAAGTAATTTCATGTATTTACAGACAAATAATTTTTAACAAATGCACAGAGAGAACATACACTGGGGAAAGGACAGTCTCTTTAATAAATGGTGCTGTGAAAACTGAATATCCACATGCAGAAGAATGAAACTAGACCCCATCTCTCACCATATACAAAAATCAACTCAATGTGAATTATGGACTTAAATATAAGAACTGAAACTATAAAACTATTAGAAGAAACACTTCAGTAGATTGGTCTAGGCAAAGATTTAATGGCTAAGACATCAAAAGCACAGGCAACAGAAACAAAAATAGACCAATGGGACTAATTGAACTAAAAAGCTTCTGCACAGTGAAGGAAACAATCAACAAAATGATTAGACAATCTTTAGAATAAAAGAAAATATTTGCAAATTATTTACCCAAAGGGACTAACTCTCTAGAATATACAAAGAACTCAAAAAACTCAACAACAACAAAAAAATAAAATATCCTCATTAAAAAGTGGACAGCAGAAATGACCAGATATTTCTCAAAAGGAGACATACAAATGTCCCCAAAACATATGAAAAAATGCTCAACATCACTAATCATCAAGGAAAGGCACACCAAACCACAATGAGATACCATCTCACCCCAGCAGAATGACTACTATGAAAAGGATAAAAAATAGCAAATGCAGGCGAGGAAGAAAAGAAAAGGCAATTCTTGTATACCATTACAAGAAATAGTGGAAATGTAAATTAGTACATTAGTACATAGACACGATGGAGCACAGTATAAAAGTTGCCTAAATATCTAAAAATAAAAGTACCATACAATCCAGCAATTCCAGTACAGGATATTTATCTAAAGGAAACAAAATCAATGATATATTTATATATCTAACAGACAGATTACCATATTGGTTAAAATAGGAAAATCCAATGATATACTATTTATAGAAAATTGTTTAAATATTATATAAAGTCATGAATAGATTATAAGAAAAAGGATTGAAGGGACCACGCAAACAATAATAAAAAGAGAGCTCGAGAGGCTATATTAAAATAAGAGAATGTAGACTTAAGACCAAGAACTAAAACTAGGACTAAAGACCACCATCAAATAGTGATAAAGGAGTCAGCTCACCAAGACCAATAATCCTAAAAGTATACACACCTAACACCACCACTTGAAAATGCATGAAAAAGGCCAGGCAAGGTGCCTCACACCTGTAATCCCAGCACTTTGGGAGGCTGAGGCGGCAGATCACCTGAAGTCAGGAGTTCAAGACCAGCCTGGCCAACATGACAAAACCCTGTCTCCACTAAAAATCCAAAAATTAGCATGGTGTGGTGGCAGGTGCCTATAATCCCAGCTACTTGGGAGGATGAAGCACAAGAATCACTTGAATCTGGGAGGCAGAGTTTGCAGCGAGCTGAGACTGCACTCCAGCCTGGGCTACAGAGTAAGACTCTATCTCAAAAGAAAAAAAAAAGAAAAAGAAAATGCACGAAAGAAACTAATAGAAATAAAAGATGAAATATACAAAACCACAATTATGTTTAACCCTTCAATACGACTATTTCAGTAATCAATAGAATTAGTTGACATATTAGCAATATCAGGAATGAAAAGGTTAACATCCCTAAAAGCCACTGGGCATTATTAAGAGGATAATGAGAGAACATTATGAACAATGTTAACTCCTAATTTTGTGAACTTAGATGAAATTACTAAGCAGATGAAGACATTAAACAAGAAGAAAACTAAAGACTGGTATTCCTTCTGAACATAGACTCAAAATTCTCAGCAAAGTATTAGCAAATCAAATCCATCAGTCTGAGGAAAGTATATCATGACCAAGCACAATTTATCTTGGGTGTGCAAGATCAGTTCAACATTCAGAAATCAATTAATGTAATTCACCATAGTGACAGATCCATAAAGAAAATCTATATGATCATCTCAACAAATGCACAAAAAAAGCATTTGACAAAATTCAAAATTCAGTAGCTACTTATTCTCAGCATATGAAGAATTAAAACGGAATTCCTTGACATGATAAAAGGAATCTTTATATCTTTATCTTACATAATATGTAATTATGTATTTTTTAATATACTTAAATTATATTTAATTGTGAAAGACTAAAAATTACCCCCCAGTATTGTTTACTAGATAAGGATGCTCACTGTCATCACTCTTATTCAACATCATCCTAAAGTTTCTAAACGTGCAATAAACAAAGAAAAGAAATTAAAGCTGTACATACTGTCCCTATTCATACACAACAGAATTGTCTAGAGAAAAAAATCACAAAGAAGTTACTAAAAAGTTACTAGAATAAATAAGCTCAGAAAGATTAAAGGACAAAAAGTCAATAGAAGAAATCAATCATATCTCTATATAATTAGCAATAAGCAATTGTAAATTAAAAATTAAAATCAGTAATATTTGTAACACCAATAAAATTTATAAATCTAATAAACATTTGCAAAATCTCTACTCTTAAAACTAGAACCACTGATAAATTTTAAAAAGGTCTAAATAAAGGGAGAAACAAACCTTGTGAATGGATTGGAAGGCTAAATGTCAAAATGTCAATTCTCCATATATCGATCTAGAGATTCAATACAATCCCAACTGAATACTCAACCAACTGGTTCTAAAATGTATATGGAAAAGCAAACAAACTAAAAAAAATCAAAGCAATTTTGGAAAAAAAACAGTGTGGGGTTGGAAAAGAGACTGAAACATAGTTTACTGGAATAAAACTAAATGCAGAAATGCAAACACTTACATGGTCAATTGATTTTCAATAAAAGTGCAAAGGCAATTCAATGTAGAGAAGAAAATATTTACTAATTGGTCATCAATAATCCACATGAGTCTGGGCTCAGTGGCTCACGCCTGTAGACCCACCACTTTGGAAGGCAGATGCAAGTGAATCGCTTCAGCCCAGAAGTTTGAGACCAGCCCAGGCAACATAGCAAAACTGCATCTCAACGAAAAATTTTAAAAGTTAGCTGGCAGTGGTGGCACATGCCACTAGTCCCAGTAACTCAGGAGGCTGAGATGGAAGAATCACCTCAGCCCAGGAGCTCGAGACTGCAGTGAGCCGTGATTGTGCCACTGCACTCCAGCCTGAGTGTCAGACAGATGCTGTCTCAAAAAAATAGTAATAAGGAGGCAGATAAAGATAAAGAAATAGAAAGCTCCATAAATTATCCCCTTCCCCAGCAAAAAAAAAAACAAAAAACAAAAAACAAGTTAACAACTATCTACACAGAAAAAAACACCTTCTGTAAGAACCAAAAATCAGATGAGCACTGACAGTACCTGGTTTTAACTTCATATCACTGAAAGAGGCACTGAAGAGATCACAAAAACAGTCCTGAATCACCAATGCGACCCCTCCCCAACCCAGGCAGCTACAGAGTGGTGCAAAGAGCATCTCTGGCTGCTGAGAGGGGGAGAACACAGTAATTGTGACGCACTGAACTCAGTGCTGTTCTGTTAGAGCTGGGGGAAGAAAAACAGACCAAACTCAGCTGATGCCCACCCACAGAGAGAGCATTTAAATCAGCCCAGGTCCCATTGTGAGTGCCCACACACCTTCCACCAAGGGCCAAAGTGCTCTTGGTCTCCAAGTAAACTTCAAAGGCAGTCTAGGCCATAAGAACTGCAACTTTTAGGTAAGCCTAGAGCTGAACTAGGCCAGAGACATTGGACTGGAAGGGGCACGTGAGATACTGAGATATCAGCTGGGGCAGCCAAGGAAGTGCTGGCATCACCCTTCCCCTAACCCTAGGCTGTAGAGCTTGTGGTTCCAAAAGAAACACTTCCTTCTGCTTGAAAAGAGGAAAGAAAAGAGTAGTGAGGACTTTGTCGTACATCTTGGACACCAGCTCAGCCACAGCATGATAGGGCACTGGTCAGAGTAATGAGGCCCCTGTTCCAGGCCCTAGCACCCAGATGACATTTCTAGACACACCCTGGGATTTTGTAGAGGAGCACCACCTTGATGGTCTTGGAGAACTTTTTCAAAGTTATTTCAATCTCTACGTTAAATTCATCTGATAGAATTCTGAATTCCTTCTCTCTGTTATCTTGGATTTGAGCTACCTCAACACAGCTATTTTGAATAGGTAGCCCAGAAAACAGAGAGACTCTGTATATTTATTAGAAAGTAGGGGAAAAGATAAAGAGCCTCTGCCTGCTAATCCAGAGAATATACTCAGATCTTCTCCAAGACGATCAAGGTGGTACATCTCTACAACTCTGCTAGAACCACAATGTAACTGGGCTTGGGGTGCCCCCTAAAGCAGATACAGCTTAGATCACAGCACCCAAGTCCTTTTGAATATCTGAAAAGCCTTTACAAGAAGGATGGCTATAAACAAGCCCAGAAACTGAAGACTAACACTAAATACCTAACTCTTCAATGCCCAGACACCAAAAAACATCTACTAGCATCAAAACCACCCACAAAAACATGGTCTCACCAAACAAACAAATAAAACACAAGAGACCAATCCTGGAAAAATAGAGATATGTGACCTTTCAGACAGAGAATTCAAAATTGCTGTGTTGAGGTAACTCAAAGAAATCCAAGATAACACAGAGAAGGAATTCAGAATGCTATCAGATACATATAACATAGAGATTGAAATACCTTTTAAAAACTCAAGCAGAAATTCTAAAGCTGAAAAATGCAATTGGCATACTGAAGAATGCATCAGGGTTCTTCAATAGCAGAACTGATCAAGCAGAAGAAAGAATTAGTGAGTTTGAAGACAGGTTATTTGATAATACATATAGGAGACAAAAAAAAAAAAACAATGAAGCATAACTACAGGATCTAGAAAATAGCCTCAAAATAGCAAATTTAAGAGATAATGGCCTTAAAGAGGAAGTAGAGAAAGAAGCGGGGTTAGAAAGTGTATTCAAAGGAATAACACCAAAGAACTTCCCAAACCTGGAGAAAGATATCAATATACAAGCACAAAAAGGTTATGGAACACCAATGAGATTTAACCCAAAGAAGGGTTACCTCGAGGCATTTAATAATCAAACTCCTAAAGATCAAGCATAAAGAAAGGACCCTAAAAGCAGCAAGAGAAAGGAAACAAATAAATACAGTGGAGCTTCAATACACCTGGCGGCAGACTTTTCAGTGGAAACCTTACAGGCCAGAAGACAGTGGCATGACATAGTCAAAGGGCTGAAAGAAAAAAGCTTTTACCCTAGAATAGTATGTCCAACAAAAATACCCTTCAAATATGGAGGATAAATAAAGACTTTCTCACACACATACAAAAAAAGCTGAGGTATTTCATCAACACCAGACCTCTCCTATAAGAAATGCTAAATGAAGTAGTTCAATCAGAAGGAGAAGGATGTTAATGAGCAATAAGTAATTACCTGAGGGTACAAAACTCAATGGTAATAGTAAGTACACAGAAAAACACAGACTATTTTAACATTATAACATAGAAAACCCAAGGAAAAATTATACTACAAAACTACAGTAAGCAAAACAGCATGGTACTGACATAAAAACAGACACATATACCAATGGAACAAAATAGAGCACACAGAAACAAACACATGTACAGTGAACCCATTTTTGACAAAGGTGCCAAGAACATACACTCAGGAAAGGACAGTCTCTTCAATAAATGGTGCTGGGAAAACAGGATATCCATATGGAAAATGAATCTAGACCCCTATCTCTCACCATATACAAAAAATCAAATCAAAATTGGTTAAATACCTTAAGACTTCAAACTATGAAACTACTACAAAAACACATTGGAAAAAATCACCAGGACATTGGTCTGGCCAAAGATTTCTTCAGCAATGTCCTACAAACACAGACAACCAAAGCAACAATGAACAAATGACATCACATACAGTTAAAAAGATTCTGCACAGCAAAGGATTCAATCAACAAAGTGAAGAGACAACCCACAGAATGTGAGAAAATATTTGTAGAAATTTCATCTGACAAATAATTAATAACAAGAATATATAAGGAGCTCAAATAACCCTATAAGAAAATTTCTAATAATCTAATCAAAAGATGGGCAAAGATTTGAATAGGCATTTTGGAAAAGAAGACATAAAAATGGCAAACAGGCATATGAAAAGGTGTTCAACATCACTGATCATCAAAGAAATGAAAATCAACACTAGAATGTCTTCTCGCCTCTCTCAAAATGGCTAATATCAAAAAGACAGGCAATAACAAATGCTGGTAAGGATGTAGAGAAAAGGGAACCCTTGTATACTGTTGGTGGGAATGTACATTAGTCCAACCACCATGGAGAACAGTGTGGAGCTTTCTCTAGAAACTAAAAATAGAGCTACCATATGATCCAGCAATCCCACTGCTGGGTATATAACCCCCCAAAAAAGAAATCAGTATATCAAAGAGATATCTGCACTCCTGTTTGATGCAGCACTTTGGGAAAAACCGAAGTGTTCACCAGCAGATGAATGGATAAAGAAAATGTGGTAGGTACATATACACAATGGAGTATTATCAGCCATAAAAAAAATGAGATCCTGTCATTTCCAAAAACATAGATAGAACTGGAAATCATATTAAGTGAAAAAAGCCAGGTACAGAAAGACAAACATTGCATGTTCTCATTTATTTGTGGGATCTAAAAATCAAAACAATTGAACTAATAGACAAAGAGAGTAGAAGAATGGTTACCCAAGCCTGGAAAGGATAGTCAGTGGCTGACAGGCAGGTGGATATGGTTAATGGGTACAAAAAAAACAACAGAAAGAATGAATATGACCTACTATTTGATAGCATCACAGGATGACTATAGTCAATAATAACTTAATTGAAAGATGGCCGACTAGAAAGAGATGCAGTGGGAGGCTCCAACCAAGAGGGGAAACAGCTAGTGAATCCTGCATCGGCAACTGAGGTATCAGGCTCTCTCATTAGGAAAGACTAGGTGGTTGGCGCGAACCATGAAGAGTGAGGAAAAGCAGAGCAACAGCCCACCCAGCAGCTACACAGGGCAAGGGGAGCTCCCACCCCTAGCCAAGGGATGCAGGGAGTGGTTGTGCTACCCAACCTGGGAAGCCATGCTTTTTCCACTGATCTGTGCAACCCATGGATCAGGAGATCCCCTGATGAGCTCATGCCACCAGAGCCTTGAGCCCCATGACTGTGCAGATTCTTGGCAGTAGTTCAGCTGGAGACTGCCTAAAATTATCAAGTTCCTGGAGAAATGGGTGGCTGACATCACTGCGGCTGCCTGCTTGCTGTCATCACTGCGGCTGCCTGCTGCCTAGGATGACTGAGCTGCTGGGGCGAGGGGAGGCGGCCATCACTGCAGCTCCAGTCTGCTGTTTTCTTCTGGCAGTGCTGAGGAGGCTGGGCAAATTGGACCCAGGAGGAATTCTCCACAGCTCAGCACAGCTGATGTGGCAGATCTTGACCAGACTGCCTCTTCAGGCCAGATCCAGACCCATCCTTCATCACTGGGCAGGGCCTCCCTGCTGAAATGTCAGCAAGTCCAGCCAGGGGTTTACGGACAAAACTCTGATCTCCCTTGGGAATGGAGCCACTAAGGAGAGGGGCAACCACAACCTCTGTAAATCAGAGGACTTAAGTATTTCCCCCTGCTGGCTCTGAGGAATCTGGGCAGCCCAGATGAGTGAGATTCGCCCCAGTGCAGACAGCCCCTCCACCAAAGAGCAGGCAGAGTTCTTCATTAAAAGGGTCCCTGATCCCGTGCCTCCTGACTGGATGAGACAGGGGTTGCCAGACACTTTATACAGGAATATTCCCTCTGGCATCAGGTCAGTGCCCCTCTGAAATGGAGCTCCCGGAGGAAGAAGCAGGCAGGCATTTTGCTATTCTGCAGCCTCCACGGTGACATATCCAGATACAAGAGGGACCCAGGCAAATAGAGTCTGGAGCAGACCCTCAGAAAACCACAGCAGCCCTATGGGAGAGGAGCCTGACTTTTGAAAGCAAAACAAACAAACAGAAAATAAGAACAACAGCATCAACAAAAAGTCCCCATAAAAACTCCATCCAAAGTCATCATCCTCAAAGATAGAAACCAGATAAACTCAGGAAGATGAGAAAGAATCAATGAAAAAAACACTGAAAACTCAAAAAGCCAGAGTTCCTCCTCTCCTCCAAATGATTGCAACATCTCTCCAGCAAGGACAGAGAACTGGGCTGAGGCTGAGATGGATGAACTGACAGAAGTAGGCTTCAAAAGATAAGACAATGACAAACTTCACAGAGCTAAAGGAGCATGTTCTAACCCAATGCAAAGAAGCTAAGAACCATGACAAAACATTACAGGAGCTGTTAATCAGAATAACCAGTTTAGAGAGGCACATAAATGACCTGAAGGAGCTGAAAAACACAACATGAGAATATAATTTTGCAACCACAAGTATCAACAACCTAACAGACCAAGCTGAGGAAAGAATTTCAGAGCTTCAAGACTATCTTGCTGAAGTAAGACAGGGAGACAAGATTAGAGAAAGAAGAATAAAAAGAAACAAGCAAAACTCTGAAAACTATGGGATTATATAAAAGGAGCAACTCTACAACTGATTGGGGTACCTGAAAGAGACAGGGAGAGTGGAACCAATTTGGAAAACATACCTCAGAATATCATCCAGGAGAACTTCCCCAACCTAGCAACACAGGCCAACATTCAAATTCAGAAAATACAGGGAGCCCCAGTAAGATATTCCATGAGAAGATCAATCCCAAGACACATAATCATCAGATTCTCCAAGGTCAAAATGAAGGAAAAAATGTTAAGGGCAGCAGGACAGAAAGGCCAAGTTGCCTAAAAAAAGGGAAGCCCATCAGACTAAAAGCAGACCTCTCAGCAGAAACCCTATAAGCCAGAAGAGAATAAGAGCCAATATTCACACTTTTTAAAAAAAGACTTTCTGGCTGGGCACGGTGGCTCACACTTGTAATCCCAGCACTTTGGGAGGCCAAGGTGGGCAGATCACCTGAGGTCAGGAGTTCGAGACCAGTCTGGTCAACATGGCAAAATTCCGTCTCTACTAAAAATGCAAATATTAGCCGGGCGTGGTGGCATGCACCTGTAATCCCAGCTACTCAGAATGCTGAGGCAGGAGAATCATTTGAACCCTGAAGGTGGAGGTTGCAATGAGCCGAGATCACGCCATTGCACTCCAGCCTGGGCAACAAGTTTGAAACTCCATCTTAAATTAAAAAAAAGACTTTCCAACCAAGAATTTCTTTTTTTTTTTTCCTTGTATTTGGTCACCTTGACTTCACATCATTCTCATGGCAACTCCTGGATTCGCTGTTCCTCTTATTTAACCATGTCCTCTAAAAATGTTCTTGGCGTGGGTCTCTGTGTGGTGAATCTCCTGAGGCCTTGTAAGCCTGAGGACATTTTAATCTCGTCCTTTCTGTTTACGTGAGGGTCTGACTGGCTTTAATGTTGTTTCCTTCTAGATTTTGAAAATATCAGCATCTTTCCTGTCTGTGTTGCTGCTGAAAGGCCCCAGTCAGTCCTGTCCTGCCGGGAGGTGCGGCCAGGTCTTCCCCAGAGCCTTTAGGATGCTGTCTGTGACCTTGGGTGTCACACCTAGGTGTCTGCCAGCGAGTTTTCCTGTAGTTTCTGTTCTTTGGCATCCGTGGACTCTTTTACCTGTGGCTCGTCCTCTTTCCTTAATTCCAGGAAACTAATTTTCATGATTTCTATACATATTTCCTCTTTCCACTCTTACTATAACTTCCTTTTGGGCTTCTTTTATATATATATTTATATATATATATATTTGTTTATTATACTTTAAGTTCTAGGGTACATGTGCACAACATGCAGGTTTGTTACATATGTATACATGTGCCATGTTGGTGTGCTGCACCCATTAACTTGTCATTTACATTAGGTATATCTCCCAATGCTATCCCTTCCCCCTCCCCCCACCCCACAACAGGCCCCGGTGTGTAATGTTCCCCTTCCTGTGTCCAAGTGTTCTTATTGTTCAATTCCCACCTATGAGTGAGAACATGTGGTGTTTCCAACCAAGAATTTCATATCTGGCCAAACTAAGCTTCATAAACGAAGGAGAAATAAAATCATTTTCAGCAAGCAAATGCTGAAGGAATTCATTGCCACCAGGTCTGCCTTGCAAGAGGTCCTGAAGGAAGCACTAAATATGGAAAGAAAATACCATTACCAGCCACTACAAAAACACACTGAAGTACAAAAACCAATAACATTATGAAACAACTACATAAATAAGTCTGCAAAATAACCAACTATCATCATGATGACAGGATCAAATTCACACATAGCAATATTAACCTTAAATGTAAGTGGGCTAAATGCCCCAATTAAAAGACACAGAATGGCAAGCTGGATAGACTCAAGACTCTTTGGTGTGCTGTATTCAAGAGACCCAATAATAGACAAACAGAGAGCCAAATCATGAGTGAACTCCCATTCACAATTGCTACAAAGAGAATAAAATACCTAGGAATACAACTTACAAGGGATGTGAAGGACCTCTTCAAGGAGAACTACAAACCACTGCTCAAGGAAATAAGAGGGGATACAAAAAAATGGAAAAACATTTCATCCTCATGGATAGGAAGAATCAGTACCATGGAAATGAACATACTGCCCAAAGTAATTTATAGATTCAGTGCTATTCCCATTAAAACTACCATTAACATTCTTCACATAATTAGAAAAAAACTACTTTAAAATTCACATGGAACCAAAAAAAGGGCCCATATAGCCAAGACAATCCTAAGCAAAGAAAACAAGGCTGGAGGCATCACGCTACCTGACTTCAGACTACACTACAAGGCTAAAGTAACCAAAACAGTATGCTACTGGTACAAAAACAGGCCAATGGCACAGAATAGAGAATTCACACATCAACAACCATCTGATCTGTGACAAACCTGACAAAAACAAGCAATGAGAAAAGGATGCCCCATTTAATAAATGGTGCTAGTAAAACTGGCTAGTCATATGCAGAAAATTGAAACCGGACTCCTACCTTACACCTTATACAAAAAATAACTCAAGATAAAGACTTAAATGTAAAACGCAAAAGTATAAGAACCCTAGAAGAAAACCTAGGCAATACCATTCAGGACATAGGCAGGAAAAAAGATTTCATGATGAAAACGTCAAAAGCAATTGCAACAAAAGCAAAAACTGATGAATGGGATCTAATTAAACTAAAGAGCTTCTGCATAGCAAAAGAAACAAATTATCATCAGAATGAAGAGACAACCTACAGAATGGGAGAAAATTTTTGCAATCTTTCCATCTGACAAATATCTAATACCCAGAATATATAAGTAAATTAAACAATTTACAAGAAAAACAAACAATCCCATTAAAAAGTGGGCAAAGGGCATGACAGACACTTCTCAAGACATTTATGTAGCCAACAAATATGTGGAAAAAAAGCTCATCACTGATCATTAGAGAAATGCAAATCAAAATCACAATGAGATACCATCTCCTGCCAGTCAGAATGGTGATTATTAAAAAGTCAAGAAACAACAGATGTTGGTGAGGCTGTGGATAAATAGGAACACTTTTACACTGTTGGTGGGAATGTAAATTAGTTTAACCTTTGTGGAAGACAATGTGATGCCTCAAAGACCTAGAACCAGAAATACCATTTGATCCAGCAATGCCATTACTGGGTATATACCCAAAGGAATATAACTTATTCTATTATAAAGATACACTCATGTGCATGTTCATTGCAGCACTATTCACAAGGGCAAAGACATGTAATCAACCCAAATGCCCATCAATGATAGACTGGATAAAGAAAATGTGGTACATATGCACCATGGAATACTATGCAGCCATAAAAAGGAATGAGATCATGTCCTTTGCAGGCACAAGGATGAAGCTGGAAGCCATTATCCTCAGCAAATCCATGCAGAAACAGAAAACTAAATACCACATGTTCTCACTTACAAGTGGAAGCTGAACAATGAGAACAAATGGACACAGGGAGAGGAAAAACACACACCGGGGCCTGTCTGGAGTTGAGTACAGTGGTAGGGAGAGCATCAAGATAAATAGCTAATGCATGCTGGGCTTAATACCTAGGTGATGGGTTCATAGGTGCAGCAAACCACCATGGCACACGTTTACCTACATAACAAACCCGCACATCTTCACATGTATCTTGGAACTAAAATAAAATAAAATAAAGTGGATCTTACGAAGATAAAGAGTGGATTGGTAGTTACTAGAGAACAGGAAGAGAAGGGGGATAAGGGGATGAAGAGAGGTTAATTAATAAGTGCAAACATACACATTGACCTAGTGTGTTTGATAACATGGTAGGGCAACTGTAGTTAACAATAATTTCTTGTATATTTCAAATAGCTAGAAAAGAAGATCTAGAATGTTCCCAACATAATAAATGAAATGATAAATGTTTGAGGTAATTGATATCCCAAACATTCCGATTTGATCATTGTATATTGCATATGTGTATCAAAATATCACATGTACTTCATAAATATGTACAACTATAATGTATAAATTTTAAAAAGCAAGACTTTTAGGTAGGAATTCCATGAGGAAATATCATGTAACTGGATAGGAAATCACACAATTTTAAAGATTATTAATGAAAACACAATCTTTTGGCTATTCACAATGAAATAGTTTTAATTTTTGTTTTTAAATGAAAATCACTGGGATTAATGAGAATATAAAGAAATGGAATTGACACACACTGTTAGTGAAATGGTATGTTGACAGTGAACTTGTGGAGGACAATTGTACAATACTTAATAAAAATATTAACCTTTAAATCAACAACAAAATAATAATAACTATCACTTAATTGTACATTTTTAAATAACTAAAAGAGTATAATTCGATTATTTGTAACAGAAAGGATAAATGGATTGAGGCGATGAGTGCCTCATTCTCAATGATATGATTATTACACATTGCATGCCTGTATCAAAACATCTCGTGTGCCCCCATAAATATATATATCTACAATGTACCCTTAAAAATTAAAAATTAAAAATTTTTTGAATAATAGAAAGAAGAACTATCAGATTTCAACAACAAAAAGCAAGCCAATTCAAAAAAAGGCAAAAGATTTGAATAAGTGTTTCTCAAAAGAATATATACAAATAGTTGCTAAGCACATGAAAAGATATTCAACCACACTAGTCATTAGGGAAATGCAAGTAAAATCAACATAAGTTACCACTTCACACCCACTCTGATGGTTATTATAAAAAAAATTAAACAAACAAAATAACAGATGTTGATGAGCATGTGGAGAAATTGAAATATTGGAACCTTTGTGCATTATTGATGAAGATATAAAATGGTTCAGCCAACACAGTTCATAAAGCCTCATCTTTGGACACAGAAGAAGATAACAATCAAAATAAACAGCATTTGTGAGACGTGGGGCCAGAAAATAAAACTATTCAACCCCACTAGGCCCAGGGACTATCATGGAAGAGGCGGGCATGTGAAATTGCGAGGGCCAATTGTGGGAGTTAAAATTAGTTCAGAATTTCTCTGTAAATCAAACATTAATATCAAAGGCATACTAAGCAATACCAGCATCTGGGCCCCTGTATTAGATTAACAAGGTTTTCTTGGAACATTAACCCATTCTTTAATTAAAAAGCTATAAAATATTATTTAAAAATTTATAAAAATTATATCTTATGGTCAACATATTTATTAAAATTTAATAAATTTGCATATAAGATTTGAGAGACAGATTTAATTGGCCCCATGATGTATTTATTAGGGCTTTTGGTTTGGGAAAGCAAGTCTCCTTTCACAAAAAATAAATGTTTTTGCAATTCTTGTTGAAATCTTAGAGTTATCACTTTGGCTGAGTGAATGACTAATTATATAATGACCTGTGATCCTATTCTGTTATATCAAGTGTTTTAAAGTTTTGGTATTTCACAAACTTTCCAAAATCTAATTCTATGTTGAGTCCTTTGGTACTCATTAAGTTTTTGACATTAAGTCACCTGAAGTCCAAAATAGATATATTCAGCTTCTTCAGTATAATAAAATCATATAGGAAGCACTGTCAAATGTAAAATGTTGTTTAACCTTCTTTGGATTATATTTATATAAATGTGTTATTAGTATGTGTTTCAAAATTGTATGAGATTCCTGTGATTCTGTTATGTCCTAACATATGTTATCAGTAGCAATTATGGTTATGATGTAAAATTGTTGTATTCCACAGAACCAAATTTCCTTGTCAATTGTGTCTTTAATTATGGCTGTTCTAAGACTTTTGTCATCCATAATTGTTTTACTTTGATCCTTGTATAGAGGAGTTTATAATCAGCTCTAGAAATCTGAGGAACACTCTTAAATACAGGTTTCTGATAACTTTGGAGACTATGCCATTGAAATAGAGAGAAAAACTTCCAGGATTCTCATGAAGAGCTGATGCATTCATGAGGATTGTTGATCCAATATTGAGAAGAGGTGTTAATTACACAAACTGAATTAACAGAAAATTAAAATAATATTTTGTGATTTTTTTTGTTTATAGTATTTGCTAATTCTTTTTTTGTCTTTCAGAGTCAAGAAAATTTTTTTAAGCTATTTACAGCCTTTAACAATAGAGTATACTCTCATGAGCAAAATTTAAAAGATGATTCCTTTCTCTCGATCTAATTTCTCCAAAATTTATAAACTATTTTGTGAGTATTCTTAATTTATAACAATATAATTATTCACAGAAGTTCAATAAGAACCTATTTTCTTTTATAATAGGGCATAATTGGAGACACTGGTTATTTTACCAAGATTTTGACTGGAATGACATATTTTCAAATGGCATTAAGAACAATGAGGCTGATCCATGGAAAAATAAAAGCCCCTTAGAAAACTTTGCCATATCTCTTGTCCCTTACAAGTTCCTGACTTGTGGCTAAGTAAAAAATGTCACTTTCTGACAGGTCCAGGAACTGCAAGTTTTCTTGGGACCTCAAAAGAAATGCACCCAATTCACACAGGTATCTGCAGGCACAGATAAATCCTTGGCTGGGCTCAAGGCTTTTTAAAAGGTCTTAGGTTCCTTATCAAAAAGGTTCCAGCAAAGCCAATTTTAACAAAAGAGAGAGAATCTATATGGCAAATTATTATTCTTGCTGCTTTTTATGCAAATAAGCCAAGTATAATAGGACTAAAACTTATGTGACAAATAAATTGATACTACTATAATTTTGTCTTTAACAAAATTGGAGAATTGGAAAGAAAAAATGTTTGAAAATAAACTATAGTATGCCTGTTATTAGATTCTAGCCTTGCCTAATGTTTTTCAATTTTTATTATTTTCTACAATTTGAAATGAATTCTAAAATTTTTCCTGGCTACAAGTCTCCAAAATAATGTTTTCAAATTTTTCTTTCTTTCTTTCCCCTTTTTTCCCCATTTTAAGATATGCTTTTCTAAAAGCCCTGTGAATTGAAGCTAGACAAGCTATATTTCAGAAGAAAATAACAGCAATGTATTTTATATATATATATAAATCACTTTGACTTTCATACCTGCCTACTGATGTATGGACTTCAGAGTAATATGGCCTATATCAGGTTTCCAGGATTGTTCTCCCTTTTTGTTTGCTTGTTTTCTTTCTCTCTTCCTCTCCCTGCTTTTTTCTTTGTGGGTACATGAGACTTCACAACCTGCTAAAATTATAATAACATGGGATCTATCTATCTAGGAATAAACTGTCCTAGCCAGGAGAGATCAGACAAAATCTGATACCAGAGACTCATTTTCTTCCAAAATGCTTTCTCTGGGAGATTTTAAAAAGAAAAGAGGAGAGAAATGTGAAAGGAAAACAAAAACTTGGGACCTCAATTCACTATGCCAAAACAAAAAAAAATTAAGCTGAAAACCGAGTCATGCAATAAACTGCCTTACCTTTTGTTCCTAAGCAGATAGCTACAGATAAAAAGTCAGATATTGCCACAGGTAGCTACTCTATGTTCACCTTATCTTATGTAAAGTGCTGATTTACTGAGTGTGAGACAAAAACATAATTGACTATTCTCCTACCTGCTCCTTTTCTCTTGCAACCTGTGGATTACCATATCCTCCCTGTTTCCTGTCCAGCCCACTTTTCCCCTTTAAATATTGAAGCCCTCAAAATCATCTTTGGAGAAAGGCACAGAACACAGGCTGTTTCTGTGATTCCATGCTTATTTCTTCCAGGCGTGCCCTTTACCTTGGCAAAATAAACATCTAAATTGATTGAGAAAAAAACAAAACAAACAAATACCAGCAAGATTTTTTTTGTAGAAATCAAGTTGATTGTAAAATTTATATGGGAACTCAAAGGACCTAAAATAGCCAATACAATTTCAAAAAACAAGAAAATTATGGAGAATTTACACTACATAAAAACAAGACTTACTGTAATGACACCAAAAATAGCATGGACATCAGGGTAGACATAAACCAGTGGATCAGAACAGAGAGTCCAGAAATACATCCATATGCAGCTCCAACAAAGCTGCAATGGTAATTTAACCTGAAAATAATGTTTTTACTACAAATAATGCTAGAAAAACTGAACATCTTTTTAAGAAAAAAAAATGAACCTTATCCTGTCCCTGACACAAAATCAACTTGAAATTGATCATAGACCTATTATTAAAACTATAAAACTTCTAGCACAGAAATATCTTTGCAGTCTTGGAGTAGGCAAATATTTCTAAGATGAGATATAAAAAGTCTAAACCATAAAAGAAGTGGAGGTTGTCAACTGGGAGGAGAAAAAAGGGAACTTCTTAGGGTAATGAAAATGTTACACATCTTGATTATAGTGAAGGTTACATTAGTGTGTATATTTTCCAGAATTCATTAAATTGTATGCTAAAAAACCCAATAAAGTTTATCTTTCAATGCTTAAAAGGGAAAGTGGCTATAATCCATTGTAATGTCATAGAATTAAGTCTACTTATTATATGTAAAATTAAAAGTATAAATATTGAAAAAAGTAGAATTACCTATGACTCATATCCCTTAAAATCCTGTTCTCATTCCCTAGATGCAAATGCTCTTAATCATCTTAGTTGCTCAAGTATTATTCTACAGAGTAACTTTACACATCTACATCTTAATTTATCATTATCAAACAACATGTATTGAAACTCTGCTAGAAAAAATAAGAAAATGGTTCATGTACATCACACTCCACTTCTCTAACAATTTTTGTTATTTCTATTATTTTTTTGTTTTGTTTTGTTTTATTACTATTATTATACTTTAAGTTTTAGGGTACATGTGCACAATGTGCAGGTTAGTTACATATGTATACATGTGACATGCTGGTGTGCTGCACCCACTAACTTGTCATCTAGCATTAGGTATATCTCCCAATGCTATCCCTCCCCCCTCCCCCCACCCCACAACAGTCCCCAGAGTGTGATGTTCCCCTTCCTGTGTCCATGTATTCTCATTGTTCAATTTCCACCTATGAGTGAGAATATGTGGTATTTGGTTTTTTTGTTCTTGTGATAGTTTACTAAGAATGATGATTTCCAATTTCTTTTTTTTTATTATTACTATTATTATTATTATTATTTTTAATTATACTTTAAGTTTTAGGGTACATGTGCACATTGTGCAGGTTAGTTACATATGTATACATATGCCATGCTGGTGCGCTGCACCCACCAACTCGTCATCTAGCATTAGGTATATCTCCCAATGCTATCCCTCCCCCCTCCCCCCTCCACACCACAGTCCCCAGAGTGTGATATTCCCCTTCCTGTGTCCATGTGATCTCATTGTTCAATTCCCACCTATGAGTGAGAATATGCGGTGTTTGGTTTTTTGTTCTTGCGATAGTTTACTGAGAATGATGGTTTCCAATTTCATCCATGTCCCTACAAAGGACATGAACTCATCATTTTTTATGGCTGCATAGTATTCTATGGTGTATATGTGCCACATTTTCTTAATCCAGTCTATCATTGTTGGACATTTGGGTTGGTTCCAAGTCTTTGCTATTGTGAATAATGCCGCAATAAACATACGTGTACATGTGTCTTTATAGCAGCATGATTTATAGTCATTTGGGTATATACCCAGTAATGGGATGGCTGGGTCAAATGGTATTTCTAGTTCTAGATCCCTGAGGAATCGCCACACTGACTTCCACAATGGTTGAACTAGTTTACAGTCCCACCAACAGTGTAAAAGTGTTCCTATTTCTCCACATCCTCTCCAGCACCTGTTGTTTCCTGACTTTTTAATGATTGCCATTCTAACTGGTGTGAGATGATATCTCATTGCGGTTTTGATTTGCATTTCTCTGATGGCCAGTGATGATGAGCATTTTTTCATGTGTTTTTTGGCTGCATAAATGTCTTCTTTTGAGAAGTGTCTGTTCATGTCCCTCGCCCACTTTTTGATGGGGTTGTTTGTTTTTTCCTTGTAAATTTGTTTGAGTTCATTGTAGATTCTGGATATTAGCCCTTTGTCAGATGAGTAGGTTGCGAAAATTTTCTCCCATGTTGTAGGTTGCCTGTTCACTCTGACGGTAGTTTCTTTTGCTGTGCAGAAGCTCTTTAGTTTAATTAGATCCCATTTGTCAATTTTGGCTTTGGTTGCCATTGCTTTTGGTGTTTTGGACATGAAGTCCTTGCCCACGCCTATGTCCTGAATGGTAATGCCTAGGTTTTCTTCTAGGGTTTTTATGGTTTTAGGTCTAACGTTTAAATCTTTAATCCATCTTGAATTGATTTTTGTATAAGGTGTAAGGAAGGGATCCAGTTTCAGCTTTCTACATATGGCTAGCCAGTTTTCCCAGCACCATTTATTAAATAGGGAATCCTTTCCCCATTGCTTGTTTTTCTCAGGTTTGTCAAAGATCAGATAGTTGTAGGTATGTGGCGTTATTTCTGAGGGCTCTGTTCTGTTCCATTGATCTATATCTCTGTTTTGGTACCAGTACCATGCTGTTTTGGTTACTGTAGCCTTGTAGTATAGTTTGAAGTCAGGTAGTGTGATGCCTCCAGCTTTGTTCTTTTGGCTTAGGATTGACTTGGCGATGCAGGCTCTTTTTTGGTTCCATATGAACTTTAAAGTAGTTTTTTCCAATTCTGTGAAGAAAGTCATTGGTAGCTTGATGGGGATGGCATTGAATCTGTAAATTACCTTGGGCAGTATGGCCATTTTCACGATATTGATTCTTCCTACCCATGAGCATGGAATGTTCTTCCATTTGTTTGTATCCTCTTTTATTTCCTTGACCAGTGGTTTGTAGTTCTCCTTGAAGAGGTCCTTCACATCCCTTGTAAGTTGGATTCCTAGGTATTTTATTCTCTTTGAAGCAATTGTGAATGGGAGTTCACTCATTATTTGGCTCTCTGTTTGTCTGTTGTTGGTGTATAGGAATGCTTGTGATTTTTGTACATTGATTTTGTATCCTGAGACTTTGCTGAAGTTGATTATCAGCTTAAGGAGATTTTGGGCTGAGACGATGGGGTTTTCTAGATAAACAATCATGTCGTCTGCAAACAGGGACAATTTGACTTCCTCTTTTCCTAATTGAATACCCTTTATTTCCGTCTCCTGTGTGATTGCCCTGGCCAGAACTTCCAACACTATGTTGAATAGGAGTGGTGAGAGAGGGCATCCCTGTCTTGTGCCGGTTTTCAAAGGGAATGCTTCCAGTTTTTGCCCATTCAGTATGATATTGGCTGTGGGTTTGTCATAGATAGCTCTTATTATTTTGAAATACGTCCCATCAATACCTAATTTATTGAGAGTTTTTAGCTTGAAGGGTTGTTGAATTCTGTCAAAGGCTTTTTCTGCATCTATTGAGATAATCATGTGGTTTTTGTCTTTGGTTCTGTTTATATGCTGGATTACATTTATTGATTTGCGTATATTGAACCAGCCTTGCATCCCAGGGATGAAGCCCACTTGATCATGGTGGATAAGCTTTTTGATGGGCTGCTGGATTCGGTTTGCCAGTATTTTATTGAGGATTTTTGCATCGATGTTCATCAAGGATATTGGTCTAAAATTCTCTTTTTTGGTTGTGTCTCTGCCCGACTTTGGTATCAGAATGATGCTGGCCTCATCAAATGAGTTAGGGAGGATTCCCTCTTTTTCTATTGATTGGAATAGTTTCAGAAGGAATGGTACCAGTTCCTCCTTGTACCTCTGGTAGAATTCGGCTGTGAATCCATCTGGTCCTGGACTCTTTTTGGTTGGTAAACTATTGATTATTGCCACAATTTCAGCTCCTGTTATTGGTCTATTCAGAGATTCAACTTCTTCCTGGTTTAGTCTTGGGAGAGTGTATGTGTCTACGAATGTATCCATTTCTTCTAGATTTTCTAGTTTATTTGTGTAGAGGTGTTTGTAGTATTCTCTGATGGTAGTTTGTATTTCTATGGGATCGGTGGTGATATCCCCTTTATCATTTTTTATTGTGTCTCTTTGATTCTTCTCTCTTTTCTTCTTTATTAGTCTTGCTAGCGGTCTATCAATTTTGTTGATCCTTTCAAAAAACCAGCTCCTGGATTCACTGATTTTTTGAAGGGTTTTTTGTGTCTCTATTTCCTTCAGTTCTGCTCTGATTTTAGTTATTTCTTGCCTTCTGCTAGCTTTTGAATGTGTTTGCTCTTGCTTTTCTAGTTCTTTTAATTGTGATCTTAGGGTGTCAATTTTGGATCTTTCCTGCTTTCTCTTGTGGGCATTTAGTGCTATAAATTTCCCTCTACACACTGCTTTGAATGTGTCCCAGAGATTCTGGTATGTTGTGTCTTTGTTCTCGTTGGTTTCAAAGAACATCTTTATTTCTGCCTTCATTTCGTTATGTACCCAGTAGTCATTCAGGAGCAGGTTGTTCAGTTTCCATGTAGTTGAGCAGCTTTGAGTGAGATTCTTAATTCTGAGTTCTACTTTGATTGCACTGTGGTCTGAGAGATAGTTTGTTATAATTTCTGTTCTTTTACATTTGCTGAGGAGTGCTTTACCTCCAACTATGTGGTCAATTTTGGAATAGGTGTGGTGTGCTGCTGAAAAAAATGTATATTCTGTTGATTTGGGGTGGAGAGTTCTGTAGATGTCTATTAGGTCCACTTGGTGCAGAGCTGAGTTCAATTCCTGGGTATCGTTGTTGACTTTCTGTCTCGTTGATCTGTCTAATGTTGACAGTGGGGTGTTAAAGTCTCCCATTATTAATGTGTGGGAGTCTAAGTCTCTTTGTAGGTCACTCAGGACTTGCTTTATGAATCTGGGTGCTCCTGTATTGGGTGCATATATATTTAGGATAGTTAGCTCCTCTTGTTGAATTGATCCCTTTACCATTATGTAATGGCCTTCTTTGTCTCTTTTGATCTTTGTTGGTTTAAAGTCTGTTTTATCAGAGACTAGGATTGCAACCCCTGCCTTTTTTTGTTTTCCATTTGCTTGGTAGATCTTCCTCCATCCTTTTATTTTCAGCCTATGTGTGTCTCTGCACGTGAGATGGGTTTCCTGAATACAGCACACTGATGGGTCTTGACTCTTTATCCAACTTGCCAGTCTGTGTCTTTTAATTGGAGAATTTAGTCCATTTACATTTAAAGTTAATATTGTTATGTGTGAATTTGATCCTGTCATTATGATGTTAGCTGGTGATTTTGCTCATTAGTTGATGCAGTTTCTTCCTAGTCTCGATGGTCTTTACATTTTGGCATGATTTTGCAGTGGCTGGTACCGGTTGTTTCTTTCCATGTTTAGCGCTTCCTTCAGGAGCTCTTTTAGGGCAGGCCTGGTGGTGACAAAATCTCTCAGCATTTGCTTGTCTGTAAAGTATTTTATTTCTCCTTCACTTATGAAGCTTAGTTTGGCTGGATATGAAATTCTGGGTTGAAAATTATTTTCTTTAAGAATGTTGAATATTGGCCCCCACTCTCTTCTGGCTTGTAGGGTTTCTGCCGAGAGATCCGCTGTTAGTCTGATGGGCTTCCCTTTGAGGGTAACCCGACCTTTCTCTCTGGCTGCCCTTAACATTTTTTCCTTCATTGCAACTTTGGTGAATCTGACAATTATGTGTCTTGGAGTTGCTCTTCTCGAGGAGTATCTTTATGGCGTTCTCTGTATTTCCTGAATCTGAACGTTGGCCTGCCTTGCTAGATTGGGGAAGTTCTCCTGGATAATATCCTGCAGAGTGTTTTCCAACTTGGTTCCATTCTCCGCGTCACTTTCAGGTACACCAATCAGACGTAGATTTGGTCTTTTCACATAGTCCCATATTTCTTGGAGGCTTTGCTCATTTCTTTTTATTCTTTTTTCTCTAAACTTCCCTTCTCGCTTCATTTCATTCATTTCATCTTCCATTGCTGATACCCTTTCTTCCAGTTGATCGCATCGGCTCCTGAGGCTTCTGCATTCTTCATGTAGTTCTCGAGCCTTGGTTTTCAGCTCCATCAGCTCCTTTAAGCACTTCTCTGTATTGGTTATTCTAGTTATACATTCCTCTAAATTTTTTTCAAAGTCTTCAACTTCTTTGCCTTTGGTTTGAATGTCCTCCCGTAGCTCAGAGTAATTTGATCGTCTGAAGCCTTCCTCTCTCAGCTCGTCAAAATCATTCTCCATCCAGCTTTGTTCCGTTGCTGGTGAGGAACTGCGTTCCTTTGGAGGAGGAGAGGCGCTCTGCGTTTTAGAGTTTCCAGATTTTCTGTTCTGTTTTTTCCCCATCTTTGTGGTTTTATCTACTTTTGGTCTTTGATGATGGTGATGTACAGATGGGTTTTCAGTGTGGATGTCCTTTCTGTTTGTTAGTTTTCCTTCTAACAGACAGGACCCTCAGCTGCAGGTCTGTTGGAATACCCTGCTGTGTGAGGTGTCAGTGTGCCCCTGCTGGGGGGTGCCTCCCAGTTAGGCTGCTTGGGGGTCGGGGTCAGGGACCCACTTGAGGAGGCAGTCTGCCCATTCTCAGATCTCCAGCTGCGTGCTGGGAGAACCACTGCTCTCTTCAAAGCTGTCAGACAGGGACATTTAAGTCTGCAGAGGTTACTGCTGTCTTTTTGTTTGTCTGTGCCCTGCCCCCAGAGGTGGAGCCTACAGAGGCAGGCAAGCCTCCTTGACCTGTGGTGGGCTCCACCCAGTTTGAGCTTCCCGGCTGCTTTGTTTACCTAAGCAAGCCTGGGCAATGGCGGGCGCCCCTCCCCCAGCCTTGCTGCCGCCTTGCAGTTTGATCTCAGACTGCTGTGCTAGCAATCAGCGAGATTCCGTGGGCGTAGGGCCCTCCGAGCCAGGTGTGGGATATAGTCTCGTGGTGCGCCGTTTTTTAAGCCGGTCTGAAAAGCACAATATTCGGGTGGGAGTGACCCGATTTTCCAGGTGCGTCCGTCACCCCTTTCTTTGACTCGGAAAGGGAACTACCTGACCCCTTGTGCTTCCCAGGTGAGGCAATGCCTTGCCCTGCTTAGGCTCGCGCACAGTGCGCGCACCCACTGGCCTGCGCCCACTGTCTGGCACTCCCTAGTGAGATGAACCTGGTACCTCAGATGGAAATGCAGAAATCACCCGTCTTCTGCGTCGCTCACGCTGGGAGCTGTAGACCAGAGCTGTTCCTATTTGGCCATCTTGATGATTTCCAATTTCATCTATGTCCCTACAAAGGACATGAACTCATCATTTTTTATGGCTGCATAGTATTCCATGGTGTATATGTGCCACATTTTCTTAATCCAGTCTATCATTGTTGGACATTTGGGTTGGTTCCAAGTCTTTGCTATTGTGAATAGTGCCGCCATACATACGTGTGCATCTGTCTTTACAGCAGCATGATTTATAGTCCTCTGGGTATATACCCAGTAATGGGATGGCTGGGTCAAATGGTATTTCTAGTTCTCGATCCCTGAGGAATCGCCACACTGACTTCCACAATGGTTGAACTAGTTTACAGTCCCACCAACAGTGTAAAAGTGTTCCTATTTCTCCACATCCTCTCCAGCACCTGTTGTTTCCTGACTTTTTAATGATTGCCATTCTAACTGGTGTGAGATGATATCTCATTGCGGTTTTGATTTGCATTTCTCTGATGGCCAGTGATGATGAGCATTTTTTCATGTGTTTTTTGGCTGCATAAATGTCTTCTTTTGAGAAGTGTCTGTTCATGTCCCTCGCCCACTTTTTGATGGGGTTGTTTGTTTTTTCCTTGTAAATTTGTTTGAGTTCATTGTAGATTCTGGATATTAGCCCTTTGTCAGATGAGTAGGTTGCGAAAATTTTCTCCCATTTTGTGGGTTGCCTGTTCACTCTGATGGTAGTTTCTTTTGCTGTGCAGAAGCTCTTTAGTTTAATTAGATCCCATTTGTCAATTTTGGCTTTGGTTGCCATTGCTTTTGGTGTTTTGGACATGAAGTCCTTGCCTGTGCCTATGTCCTGAATGGTAATACCTAGGTTTTCTTCTAGGGTTTTTATGGTTTTAGGTCTAACGTTTAAGTCTTTAATCCATCTTGAATTGATTTTCATATAAGGTGTAAGGAAGGGATCCAGTTTCAGCTTTCTACATATGGCTAGCCAGTTTTCCAAGCACCATTTATTAAATAGGGAATCCTTTCCCCATTGCTTGTTTTTCTCAGGTTTGTCAAAGATCAGATAGTTGTAGATATGCGGCATTATTTCTGAGGGCTCTGTTCTGTTCCATTGATCTATATCTCTGTTTTGGTACCAGTACCATGCTGTTTTGGTTACTGTAGCCTTGTAGTATAGTTTGAAGTCAGGTAGTGTGATGCCTCCAGCTTTGTTCTTTTGGCTTAGGATTGACTTGGCGATGTGGGCTCTTTTTTGGTGCCATATGAACTTTAAAGTAGTTTTTTCCAATTCTGTGAAGAAAGTCATTGGTAGCTTGATGGGGATGGCATTGAATCTGTAAATTACCTTGGGCAGTATGGCCATTTTCACGATATTGATTCTTCCTACCCATGAGCATGGAATGTTCTTCCATTTCTTTGTATCCTCTTTAATTTCATTGAGCAGTGGTTTGTAGTTCTCCTTGAAGAGGTCCTTCACATCCATTGTAAGTTGGATTCCTAGGTATTTTATTCTCTTTGAAGCAATTGTGAATGGGAGTTCACTCATGATTTGGCTCTCTGTTTGTCTGTTATTGGTGTATAGGAATGCTTGTGATTTTTGTACATTGATTTTGTATCCTGAGACCTTGCTGAAGTTGCTTATTTTAACTATTCTGTTGAAGTGGTTATCAATGTAAGCAGTTTGCATTTTAGAAATTTGTTGAGGCATTGTTTGTTTTAATAATGATGCAAGAGCACTGATAGCATTTGGTTGGTGGAGATTAGGGAGGCTAGTGGAGAGTCCTATACAACTTCTAAATGTCCCACCAGACATTCAGGTATGCAAAAATCCTATTCATAAATATGTGAGCTTAGTACCTACCTCTGCCTACACGTACATGCAAAAAATTTAACATGGCTTTAATAAACACTGTTTTTTTCCAAGAATGCAAGTAAGGTGTAAACCAAGGAAAGGTTATAGTGAATTTGTTCATAATTTTATCCAAAAATATCATCATTTTAGAAAATCATATCACCAAATACATTGTCATTCATTATATTTGATTTATTAATACAACACTACCATATCAATCAACATTTGTAGCAGTTATGTTTATAGCGATTCCACACACAAATACAAATATTGGAACTCTTTATTATGGTTTCTATTTGCCTGGATATATGCATATTTGTTTTTCCTTATGGAGAAGTCCTACCCAACCTGTAGACGTGCATAAAATGTCATCTCCTCTGGGAAGTCATATCTGACTTCCCCAAGCAAAGATAATTATTGCTTCTCTGTGTTCCCACAGAACATTGTTTATACCTTTCTTACAGAATTATTACTTTTTAATTATGTGTATCTTTTTACCTCTAGTGATTATGGTTTCTCATCAGAAGAGTCTAATCTCTTTTTATCACTACTTTCCCTGTCTCCACCCTATGTATGACATAATGCTTGGCACAATGTCAGTAATCTATAAAAAGTCATTGAATTACTAAAACAAAAAAAGGACTTTTAGGACCTAATTTGATTTGAATACTAACTATTGTTTTTTTGCTTATCTGTTAAGAGCATAGTGGTCATGTTGTATTCTAAGTCATCAAAAGAACAAACAGATATTTACATTTACAGTGTATTAAGATAAACAATTACAATATAATGAGATGAAGTAGTCAAAGAAAACAAGACACTACAAAACATGCATGTATTGACACAGACACAAAAGGAGAGGAAAAAAAACTAAGCCTGCAGTGTTAATTCAATATAATGGTTGATTATTTTAATGTACAAGGCAGGAAATACAAAGTTATTATTCTCAGAGAAATAATATCTCAATTACATTCTACATGCACATAAAACCATTAAAAATAATGACATTTACAGCAGTACAAAATAAGGTGGCAGAGTTATTGTTGCTATGGAATAACTTTTATATTTATTGACTTCTGTGCATTTTAATATTCAACCACATAGTTGTTTCACCCATATTTTCAGATTCAAACTCTTTACTCTTCTTTTAAAATGCCCCAAACTCAGCAAAGGCAGCATGAATTACTAAGAATTCAGATTTCACAGTCACATAGATTTAAGATTGAATCCACCTACTTCAGATACATACTGC
This sequence comes from Homo sapiens, assembly GCF_000001405.40. NCBI lineage: Eukaryota > Metazoa > Chordata > Mammalia > Primates > Hominidae > Homo > Homo sapiens. The sequence goes on from NC_000001.11 coordinate 49,884,231, forward strand.
AGTATAACATACTTTGTTAAGTAATTTAACCTCTTTGAGTCTGTTTATTTCCCTTAAAATATTGTTCTGAAGGTTATGTAAAACACATGTAAATTACTTAGAACATAGTATTCACTCAGTAAGTAGTTGGTTATTATTATTAGTCATCATCCTTATCATTACTATTATTAAGACACCTGTATATTAAAGAAAATGTATTTAGTGAAAAGAATAAAAGATTCAGTTCTATAAAGTATAAAGAAAGATTTGGAAAAGGAAAGAAATAATTTAAATTGAAACCATGAAGAATATCTTGGTGAAAAGTAATGTAAAGTAACACTGAATACTGTAGCATCCAGTTAAATTACACACTAAAACACCCTTATATAGTATGCAAAATATTTGTCCCCAAACATAGAGACAGAATAACACAATGGTTTTTTTCAATTTAAGGAAGTTAGAGATGGAGGATAAAATAATTGTGGCTTATCTTTACAGAAGTAAAGGTCTCATTCTAATAATGTTATTATTATTATATGCCTTGCTGACATTGGTTCTACAGCCTTTAAAAAATAATGTATGAATAATGAATATTTAGCAAGAAAATTATGAACATATTTTGGGGCAGAGGGAACAAAGAAAAATGTGTATCTATAGATGTAGCATGTACCTGGTGAAATAATATAATTATAATCTCATTTCACTCTTATAAATAGGCCTGCTGAAACATCTAGAAATAGACTTTAGGGCTGTGTAAATTTTTGATATTTAAATGGGTTATGCTGCTGATGGATGTGAAAAAAGCTCGATTTGTTTCATTTTTACATTGAAAACTACTTCACACAAATTATGAGCAGTTCATATTGGTCAAAGTGAAGAAAACAGCTTATTAATTAAAACTGACCTTTTTATATGACACGTATTTCACCTCAGAAGCTAAAACACCTTCGAAGAGGTAAAAAATTACCTCTATGTATAAGTGACATGTAGTTAAATGAGTCTGTCAAAAGTTCCATTATAAAGCCATATTTCCAGGGCTTCATAATTTTGAAAGAAAATTACATTAAAGATGAGTTGTAACCCACAAATTCTCAGCCAAAAGGATAAATCTAAAATTTCTACTTGTGGATGTTTTAGGGAAGATAATCTATATGTTTGGAAACTTTAGTCTCAGTGAACTAGTACCCATTATATAGCTTCTTCCTAGCATTTTATAAAATCTTTCCATGTTACTTCTCATTGAAAATCTATCTACAAGATATACTGCAATAACTCACCAAAAAAACCCCTAAACATTAAAAAAAAAATTTCTCAAATACACATACCCTAATTCTCCCTAGTCACATAGTCTACAACACAAACAAGACATCTTGGTTTGTTAAGCTACAATCAATTAGAGGATGTTTCAATTACCAAATATGTATTGAAGATCTATTTTTGCACCCACCCTGTCTTGTGCCCAGAACTAAGGAGAACATATAAGACACATAAGCTATATATCAAACTATCACTCAATAAAAGAATAAGGATATACAAACAAATACTATAGTCTCAAAAAGTTGACCATCTAGTTAAGGACTATACTAAAAACAATAAAACAAATAATGAAAAAATGTTCTACTTCTTCAAGAAGGGAAAATTCAGTACAGACAATATAGTTTTGTAACACAGAGTTTGAAGAAATGTGGACCTAAGGCTGAATACTTGGTTGGCCACTTTTGGGGCATATGACCATGGATGAGACCAAATTCAGCAAGTGATGATCTTGGACTTCTCTATTTTCATCGCACAGTTGTGGGGAAAAAAACAGTGGCTCATTTTTCCCTGAAAGGGGAGTTTGCATACAATTTTCCAACCTTTTACAGTAAGTGATTTCCCTCCCTTGGTCTTACACAGGAATCACTTACACCTTTTTCTATTTTGTATTATAGTTAATTACATATGCCTTAATGTCCACTTCCCAACCAGTCACTTAAACACTAACCTTCTACTTATGTGATAGTCATAGTGCAAATAACTATATATTCTTTGTATACTTTTAATTGAGATACCTATATTCAGAGAAGCAGCATCTATGCCTTCCTCACAAAAGGCTTCCTGGAGAGCATGCCACCTGAACTACCTCAAATATGTGTGAAAATGAGTTCCAAGAAGATTATGCACGGAGGAACAAAGTATTAACCTGAGTCTGGAGAGAGAAAAAGTAGCTAGATCATGGAAGGCATTGTATGATATGCTAAGAAGGTTAGATTGTATCCTAAAGAGAGTAAAAACCAATCCCTGAAAAAAATAAAGCAAGGCAGTGGTACAATCTAGCCTTGGGGCTCAAAGCCCAGAGTATTTTCACAGAGAGGAGAAAAAATAAAGCTGCTTCTGTGATGATGACTTGAACACAGTAGGTGAAGTGTGGTAAATAAATAAGGGAAGCAGGAGTGTTAGAGGAGCAAGAAGTCTGGGATGGTTCACCCTGTCATGCAGAAGCAGAGACCATTCTCCTTCCATACAGACTGCACTGTTTCAGGAAGGCATAATGACAGATCAGCCTTTGGAGAATTTACATATGTAATCTTGTCAAGCTCTACAACTGCATTCTGGTTCCCAAATTAGACTTGCACTTCTAAATGAAATTTTAATTTATATGCTAAAAACAGAACCCTTAAAAACAACATCTGGCTGGTTTTCCTAATTTATTTCTGCCAGATTCAATTTTCAAAGAGTTCCAGCACAATGTTCTCCAAATTGTGGCCTATCAAAGGAATTTGGTGGTCTCATTAATCTCCCTCAGCATTTACCAGGTACTCACTCTGTGCTAGGCGTTGTGATAAGTGCTGGAGATCCAGATATGAATAAGACTTAGGATATCCTTCAAGGAGTATAGGCAAGGAAGGTGGAGTAAACAAGTGTAATAAAGTGCTTTACATTTTGTGATATATATATATATATACATTGTGTGTATATATATACATTGTATATATATATATGTGTATGTATATATATATACATTGTGTGTATATATATACATTGTATATATATGTGTGTGTGTATATATACACATTGTAGAATGGAGATCTAAACAAAGAGGTAAAAAAACTCCCTATGTTAGGAAGGGGAGAAGGAAGAATCCAGATAGTTTTTTTTAGAAAAAAGGTAACATGATACAAACTGAGTCTTCAGTAGCTACCCACAAGACAGCCAAGGTATGAAGTTGTGAATCTGGAAAAGATAAGTTGTTCTAAAATGAAAGGCCCGGAGATTCAAAAGAACAGCTGGGAGAATTTATAGAAGTCATACTATAAACAAGCTTATATGGGTATATAAAAATGTGTATTTATGCCATAAACAATTGAAATTATTAATGGATCTTAAGCAGTGAGTATTTTCAATATTTGCTTTGTACAATAGAAAGACCCTTCTGGCAGTAAAATGGACAATTAATTGAAGAATTAAGATTGTCCAATAAAACTGGACAGCAAATGCAGTTGGGAGATCAAAACAATAGTCTAGATGAAAGATTATGAGAGTCTGAACAAAAGCAAAAACAGTGGAGGTGAAAATGACAGATATCTGCATGGCGTACCGAACAATTAGTTGTTGTTATTCCCCTAATTCTTGCATCCCATTCTTAGGAATACATTCCTCTTACAAATTAATCAATGATAATAAGTGAATATAAGAGAAAAGATGATAAAAATAAAAAACTGCAACCTTCAAACATGGCAATATTAAATTCTCACATTTCCTGGGAAAAATTGATCACTCAAACAGGTTCAACATTTTTATTTAAGACTTAGAAAAAATAAGTGTTTGTTACATAATTTTTTCAGATATTTTCAGACGGGAGGCTAGCCATAAGCATAGATGTCAGACTCCAGATTCAAACTACCTTCATAAACAAAAATGTTAAGCCAAAATTAACAAAGATAAACATAGATCATGCACAGATCTTGCATTTAGCTTGTGCAAGAAATCAACTGCACAAATATTGATCCAGCCTACTGGAAAGAAATGTGAAAAAAGTAATCTCAAAGTTTTAATTGATCAATATTATAAAAAATTAACACAACTTACCATAACATTAACAGAAGTTAGTTCTGAACATGTAGAATAAGTTTTAATGCACTATGTACTGATCAGACCATAGTTGAAGAACTTTGGTCCATTTCAGGTATCACATTTTAAGAAATACACTAACTACAGTATTTACATAGGGAAAGAATCATGACCTATTGAGTCATATGAGATTCATATCCAATAAAAAGCTGAAAAAACCTTAGTGACAATAACAAATTTGTCTATACAACCACTACAGAGTAGCTATTCCTAATATTTAATTAATAAATAAGAGTTAAACTAAAGGGATACATTACAACTGTCTTCAAAAATTTGAAGAGTTAACAAGTAAAAGAAGGATGGGACTACCAGACTTGCACTATTAGATTGGATAACAGCCACCAATGGGTAGATTTCAGCTCAATAGATGAAAAAATAAATATCTAATGAACATAACCACCCAACAGTGAAATAAGACCATAGTAAATTGCTCTCCTTTTTCATGAGAGGCAGTTAAAGCAGAGACTGATCAATATTTGGGTTTTCTGTAAAATGGCATCTTCCTTGAATAGGAAGTTGGACAAGATGGCCTCGTAGTATCCACAAAAGTCTATGATTCAAAGAACTTACTAAGCATGTACTATATGTTCAGCTAGTACAAAATAACAAAAAACAAAATAAATAAAGTATATGGCTTCTGCTCTAAATATGCTTATTTTAAAGTTGAGAAGATTCAATCAATATATGTGAAACAATTAAATTGTTCACAGTTGTTCACAATTAATAACTGTTAAACAATTAAAGAATAATTAAATAACAAACTACATACTACACAAGATTAGAGATGAACTCATCGGAAAGACCTCGTGTAGTTGGTGGAAAATGAGTTAGTTCCTGAAGGATGAACAACTTTTGCTTTTAATGTTTTCATCAGCCAAGTGTGGTGGTACCCATCTGTAGTCGTAGCTACTCCAGAAGCTGAGGCAGGAGGTTCACTTGAGCCCAGGAGTTCAAGGATTCAGGGAGCTATCACCACACCACCTCACTTCAGCCAGGAGTGACAGAGCAAGACCCTGTCTTAAATAAATAAATAAGCATTTTCATCAACTGACTAATAAAATAATACTTTTTTTCTTTTTCAATTCACTGAAGTGATGACATATTTTGTATTTTCTAATATATGAGTGGGAAAATTGATCCATGACTATGTAACCTAAATATAGAAATAATCAGGTTTCTATAATCCCAGCTCTTTGGGAGGCCGAGGCAGTTGGGTCACAAGGTCAGGAGATGGAGACCATCCTGGCTAACAAAGTGAAACCCCATCTCTACTAAAAATACAAAAAAAATAGCTGGGCGTGGTGGCACATGCCTGTAGTCCCAGCTACTCAGGAGGCTGATGCAGGAGAATCACTTGAACCTGGGAGGTGGAGGTTGCAGGGAGCCCAGACCGCACCACTGCACTCCAGCCTAGGTGACACAGTGAGGCTCCATCTCAAAAAAAAAAAGAAATAATCAGGTTTTCTAATCTTCTAAATTTAAACTTCACAACAGATAATACACTATTCTTGTCTCCTCACATTGCCGAACAAAGTGTCTTAAATAGAATAGATAAGTTATAAAACCTTGAATGAATGGATGAATAAGTGATTAAATTAAGGAATACAAATGTAGAAGCTCTCTCAGATTATGCTTATATCATTTCAATAAGTTTAAAGAGGTGAAAATTACACGTATTGAACCACTGAAGGCAAAATGAATCAATCGGGATTCAAAGTAGAATTTGGTGAAAAACAACAAAAATAGCTACTACTTTTTGAGCACTTACAATGTGTGAGACATTGGGCTAAGCATTTTATACATTATTTTGCATAACAGAAAAATCCTAGGGAATAGTTCTTAATTCCTTTATTTTACTGATAAGAAAAAATTGAGGCTTAAACGGTTAACTTTCCCAATATCACACAGAATTAGTGAAAAGGCTGTAATTAAAATCCAGCTCTGATTTCAAAATCATGACTCATTCATGCATTTATTCCTTCAATAAATAATTGAGTGCCAACTGCAACTCAGAAAAGTTCTAAGTGTGGAGACAACAGCAGATAAGAAAGACAACACTCATTCAGGGGCCCTTGCAGCAAATATTACTGTGTGCCACTTATTTGCCAGACATTGTTCTACGCATTTGTTACGACATGGAGGAGAAAAAAAAAGTCAAAATCTCTGCCTCTATGGAATTTATATTCTGGTTGGAGAGATACTTAATAAATATATAAGTAAATAATACTATGGTAGATTTATAAATATATAATTCCACCAAATCCCACTTCCTCTTCTTTCCTGGGTATATAAACTGACTGCATTTCCCAGTCTCCCTTGCATTTAGATAAGGTCATGTGACGGAACTCTAGGCAATATAACTGTAGGAAAAAGAGATTATTTCATTTCCAGACCTTCTTTCAAACATAATCCTCCATACTCTTTCCCAATTCACCAGCCAAAAACAGAAAAACATGATCTTAGCAGATGGAGGAGGCATATATAAGAAAGAGCTTGACTCCCTAAATGACTAGATGACTCTCTAGTAAGCCCAAAACTATGATCAGAGTAAGAAATAGATTTTATTGTTTAGTCAATTAAATTTGGGGTTCATCTGGCATAACAGTAAGCCCATGCACATTAATACAAATATAAATGACAGGTAGTAAAATGTGCTATGAAGAAAAATAAAACAATGAGATTGAGAGAGGAGGTACTACTTTAGATAAGATGGTAGGGAAGAATTCTCTGAAGAAATGACATTTTATTTGACCCCTGAGTTAAGGGAGACAGTAATTTCTGTGAAGATCTAGGCAAAAAGCATCAGAGGTAGAAGAAAGAAAAAGTGTAAAGATGCTGAAGAAGAAGCAAACTTGTAACATTCAAGGAACAGAAAGAACTAAAAGAAATTGAGAGCACTATTCCATTGCCTTTAATTGTACACTTCTGATGCAAAATGGAAAAAAATAAGTGAGCAAGTTAACTTCCCTCCTCCCAAAATATCACTGAAATGGAATGAAGATGTGTAAGGAAAGTTCTAATTTCTTCATCTGTATCAGTGATTCTCAACCCTGGGCAATTTTGCTGCTCAAGGGATGTTTAACAATGACTACAGACATTTTCATTTGTCACAACTGTAGGAGGTGCTAGTGGCATCTAGATGGTAGAGGCCACAGATGTTGATCAATAACCTATAATGCACAGAAATAACCCCACAACAAAGAATTATCTGGCTCAAAATGTCAATAGTCCAAGGTTGAGGCATCCTAACCTAGTAAGTCAAAGAAGGGTGCTTGAAAGTGAAACCTGATATAAACCCCGAAAGGTGAGTAAAAATTACGTTGGTGAAGAAGAGAAAGTGGTCTAGGCTAATGAACTTGCAATCCAAAGGCTAGCAGAAAGATGTATCAGGGTGTACAGAAACCTCAACAGAATTGATAAGACAAGAACATAGAATATGAAGAGGAGTTAACAATGCAGACTCTCCTCCATCCAGTAATACTGGTCTCCCCATTCATTCCCATGCCACTATCCATGTTGCTTTCATTACAAAGAATTGAGTATTCACTTAACACTTTGAGACTAAGTGAAAAACAAAGCTTAAAGTTTAAGCCCCTGTCTTCAGAGCTACATCATCCATTCCAAAACATTTCAATTTCAACTTGCTGGATAAGACGGCAGCTGAGAGGCAGCAGGGTAAACTGGAAAAAGCCCTGATCTGGAACTAAAAAAACAAAGGACCAGAGGGACAGAGCATGATGGCCAAATAAACACACACTGCAATCAGTGAACAAGATAGCAACAAATGCCAACAGTCTCCTTTCCTGGAAGTTCACCAGAAGCACCAACAAATAGTATCTTCTCAACCTGGCAACCTAAGTACTTGCTTTGAGTTTGGTAAGGACAATTAATATCTTTTAATAACTATATTATCAATTTATAAAATTGTCAATTTTAATATGTATTCTCTATCAAATCTATCTGCCTTTCTCTGACTTGTTAAAGCTAAGGGAAAAAAAGTATATTGATAAGCTCTCAAATGGCTGATACAAGGTCCCTCCTCAATTCCAATCATTCCCACTATTAAACAGTATGGTAAAGTAGCACCTCCAAATTATTCATTCCTTCTACTTAGTGTGCTAAATTAAGCACATGCAAATTATTGCATCCCATTTGATTTTTTTACCTAGTATGTACTTCATTTTATCTTTTCATACATACCTGACCTGTTCCCTTCTATAATACCAATGCTTTTTGCCAATCACTGTACCTTCTATGCTTGCTCTATCTCCCTACCATTTCTTTTCCTTTACACCACATGCTTAACCATTACCATCTTCATCAAGCATCACCCCCTTAATGGTACACTCTGCTTCAGAGGCTTCAAAAACCTTTTCTCCCTGAAGTCCTTACAAAAATACTATGAGATAAGCTGAATAAGTATTATTATTCATATTTTGTAGATGAGAAGACTAGATGTCACCTATTCCTCACACTTTTCTGTTTCATACTTGCTCTTACCTTTCAACTTCAGTAAATTCTCCTTTCTTCTTTACCTCTTATTTCCAGTTTACCCCATTATTCATGGTAGTCTGCTACTGACTACTCCTTTCTTAGCTACTTCAGTCCCTGTTCTCTTCTCTTTTCCTAATACTTTGCAGTTTTGTTCTACTCTTCACAGTCTTAGAAATAGTATAAATAGAAGTCCAGCCAGGAGACACTAAATAAAATACATTAGAGGCATGCCAGGGTTGTCAAGAAGCTCCCTAAGAAACAGGTCCACCAAAGTGAAAGAAATGGAAAATCAACAATCCTTAGAAGGGAAGGAAGAAGGTGCAAAAATCCATGAAGTCATGTCTTTGCTTCCATTGTTATACCCAGCTATATCTTTTAGTATAGCTGAGAGGCAGCAGAGTATACTGGAAAAAGCCCTGATCTGGAACTAAGAAAACACAGGACCAGAAGGACAGAGCAAGATGGCCAAATAAAAGGCTCCACCGATTGTTCTCTCCACAGGAACACCAAATTTAACAACTATCTACACAAAAAAACTACCTTCATAACAACCAAAAATCAGACACCAGCTTGGCCACAGTAAAGTAAACCACAAAGTAGGCTCTTGAGGGACCCAATTCTAGGCCTTGACTCTTGGATGGCATTTCTGGACCAGTCCTGGGCCAGAAGGTAGCCCACTGCCCTAAAGGGTGAGTCCCAGGCCTGGCCGCATTCACCATAAACAGACTGAAAAGCCCTTGGGCCTTAAGCGAACATTGACAATAGCCTGACAGTACTCCCTGCGAGCTATGGTAGTGGTAATCAAGAAGAGATGCTCCTCCACCAGTGGAAAAATGAGGAAAACATGGGAAGGACTCTGTCTCATGGTTTGAGAGCCAGCTCAGCCTCAGTAGAGAGCACCGGTTAGATTTCTAAGGTTTTTTGACTCCAGTCTCTGCCTCCCGGACTGCATCTCAGGACCCACCTGGGTCCTGGAGGAGCTTGCTGCCATGAAGGAGAGAACACAAGCTGGGCTGGTTTCACAAACTGCTGATTATACAGCCCTAGGGCTTTGAGTGAACATAGGCAGTAGACAGGTAGTAGTTACAGTGGGCCTTGGGCAAGACCCAGGGCTGTGCTGGCTTTAGGTCTCACTCAGCACACTCCCAGTGGTAGTAGTCACACTGATGCTCATGTCAGCCCAAACCCAGCACCAGATGGCACAGCACAAAGAGACAGACTCTGCTTGTTTAGGAGAAAGTAAGGGAAAACAACAAGAGTCTCTGCCTGCTAATTCAGAGAATTGTCTGAATCTTATTGAACACAACCAAGGCAGTACCTCTATGAATCTGCAAGAACCACAGCAGTACTGGACTGGGAGTGCCTCCTAATGCAGACACAGCTTAGATCACAACACTGAAGTCCTTACAAATACCTAAAAAGCCTTCCAAAAAAGGACAGATAGAATAAGCCTAGATTGCAAAGAGTACATTAAATACCTAACTCTTCAATGCCTGGACATGAATGAACCTACACAAGCATCAAGGACATCAAGGAAAATACGACTCTACCAAATGAACTAAATAAGGCACTAGGGATCAATTCTGAAGAAACAGAGATATGTGACCTTTCAGACAGAAAATTAATAATAGCTGTTGAGGATACTCAAAGCTGTTTTGAGGAAAATAGCTGTTTTAAGGAAACTCGAAGAAGTTCAAAATCATAAAGAGAAGGAATTCAGAATTCTATCAGATAAATTTAACAAAGAGATTAAAATAATTAAAAGGACTCAAGCAGAAATTCTGGAGTTGAAAAATGCAATTGACATACTGAAGGATGCGAAAGACACTCTTAATAGAGGACTTGATCAAGTAGAAGAAAGAATTAGTGAGCTCAAAGACAGGCTATTTGAAAACACACAGTCAGAGGATACAAAAGAAAAAAGAATAAAAACCAATGAAGTATTCCTACAAGATGTAGACAGTAGCCTCAACCAGCCAAATCTAAGATTTACTGGCCTTAAAGGGGAGATGAAAAGAGAGAGAGATGGGTAAAAATTTTTTCAAAGTAATAATAGTAGTTTCCAAACCTAGAGAAAGATATCAATATTCAAGTACAGGTTATAGAACATCATGCAGATTTAGCTCAAAGAAGACTATGCCAAGGCAATTAATAATCAAACTCCCAAAGGTCACGAATAAAGGATCCCAAAAGTAGCAAGAAAAAAGAAATAAATAACATACAATGGAGTTCCAATATGTCTGGTAGCAACATTTCAGTGGAAGCCCTACAGGCCAGGAGACAGTGGCATGACATATTTAACGTGCTGAAAGAAAAAACTTTTATCCTAGAATAGTATATTTAGCAAAAATACTCTCCTGGGAAAAGAAGACTTTCCCAGTTTAAAAAAAAAAAAAAAAACTGAGAGATTTCAACACCAGACCTGTTCTATAAGAAATGCTAAAGGCAGTTCTTCAATCATAAAGAAAGGGACATTAATGAACACTAAGAAATCATCAGAAGGCACAAAAATCACAGGTAACCGTAAGTATACAGGAAACCACAGAATATTATAACATTGGTAATCATAAGCACACAGGAAAACAGAATGTTATAACATTGTAAATGTGTAAGTTACTCTTTTCTTAAGTAGAAAGACTAAACAATGAACCAATCAAAAATAAATATAACAACTTTTCAAGACATAAATAGTACAATAAGATATAAATAGAAACATAGTACAATAAGATATAGCTTTTTTAAAAATTAAAAAAGTAGGGAGATAAAGTTGAAATGTAGAGTTTTTATTAGTTTTCCTTTTGCTTGTTTGTTTATGCAAGCACTATTAAGTTGTCATCAGTTGAGAATAATGTGTTCTAAAATAGTATTCACAAGACACATGGCAACCTCAAATCTAAAAACACATAATAAAAACATACATGCAAAAGCAAGAAATTAAATTACACCACCAGAGAGAATCACCTTCATGAAAAGAAACACAGCAAGGAAAAAGAAAGGAAAAGAAGACCACGAAACAACCAGAAAACAAATAACAAAATGGCAACACAAGTCCTTATTTATCAATAATAACATCAAATGTAAATATACTAAACTCCTCAATGAAAAGACAGAGAGTGGCTGAATGGGGTAAAAAAAAAAAAAAAACGAGATCCAACTATCTGTTGCCTACAAGAAACACACTTCACATATAAAGACACACATAGACTGAAAATGAAAGAATGCAAAAAGACATTCTATGCAAATGGAAACAAAATAGAGCAGGAGTAGGTGTACTTACATCAGACAAAAGAGATCTCAAGACAAAAGCTGTAAGACAAGACAAAGAAAGTCATCATGCAGTAATTAAGGGGTCAATTCAGCAAGAGAACAGAGCAATTGTAAATATATATGTACCCAATATTGGAGAACCCAGATATATAAAGCAAATATTATTAGAGCTAAAGAGATATAGACCCCAATAAAATAATAGCTGGAGACATAAACACCCTGCTTTCAGCATCAGAGAGATCATGCAGACAGAAAATCAACAAAGAAACTTCAAACTTAATCTGCACTGTAAACAACATGAAACTAATAGATTTTAACAAAGCATTTCACACTATAAGGAAAAGTCTCTGACCAAAGAAAAGGCTGAAACCTGATGGCTTCACTGATGAATTTTACCAAATATTTAAAGCACTAATACCAATCCTACACAAACTATTCTGAAAAAATAGACGAGGAGAGAATACTTCTAAACTTATTCTATGAGGCCAGTAGTACCCTGATACCAAAACCAGAAACAGACCCATGAAAACACACACACACACACACACACACACACACACACACACACACACACAACTAAATGCTAATATCACTGAACAAAAATTGATGCAAAAATTCTCAAAAAAAAAATACTAGCAATCCAAACTCAATAACACATTAAAAAGATCATTCCTCATGCATGACCAAGTAGGATTTCTCCCTGGGAAGCAAGGATGGTTCAGCATATGCAAATCAATCAGTGTGATACATCATATAAACAGAATGAAGGACAAAAACCATATGATCATTTCAATTGATGCTGAAAAGGCATTTGATAAAATTCAGCAACCCTTCATGATAAAAACCCTAAAAAAAAACTGGACATGGAATGAACATACCTCAATACAATAAAATCCACATACAACAGACCCACAGCTAGTATCAAACTTAATTTAAAAAAACTGAAAGTCTATCCTCTAAGATCTGGAACAAGACAAGGATGCCCACTTTCATCAGTATTATTCAACATAGTACTGGAAGTCCTAACTAGAGAAATCAAATAACAGACAGACATAAAGGTCATCTACATTGGAAAGGAATAAATCAAATTGTTCTTGTTTGTAGATGATATAAACTTGCACTTGAAAAAACCTAAGGACTCCACCAGAAAACTATTAGAACTGATAAATTCAGTAAAGTTGCAGAATACACAATCAACATACAAAAAAATCACATTTCTATATGCCAACTGTGAACAATGTGAAAGAGAAATTTAAAAACTAATCCCATATACAATACCCACAAATAAAATTATATACGTCAGAATTAACCTAACCAAAGAAATTAAAGATCTCTAAAATAAAAACTATAAAAAATTGATTTAAAAAATTGAAGAGGACACAAAAAAGTGGAAAAATATTACAAGTTCATGCATTGGAAGAATCAATATTATTAAAATGTCCATACTACCCAAAGCAATCTACAGATTCAATGCAATCCCTGTCAAAATATAATGACATTCTTCACAAACATATAAAAAAAATCCTAAAATTTCTATGGAGCCACAAAAGACTCAGAAGACCCAAAGCTATCCTAAGTAAAAAGAACAAAACTGGAGGAATCACATTACCTGACTTCAAATTATACTACAGAGCGATAGTAACTCAAACAGCATGATAATAGCATAAAAAACAGCATGATAATAGCATAAAACATAGAAAAATGGAGCAGAATAGACAACCCAGAAATAAATCCATACATCTACAAGGAACTCACTTTCAACAAAGATGCAAAGAACATACATTAGGGAAAGGACAGTCTGTTCAATAAATGGTAAACTGGATATCCACATGCAGAAGAATGAAACTATACACCTCTTTTTTTCCATGTACAAAAATCAAATCAAAATGGATTAAACACTTAAATCTAAGACTTTGAAATTATGAACCTCCACCAGAAACACTGGGGAAACTCTCCAGAACATTGGACTGGACAAAGATTTCTTGAGCAATACCCCACAAGAACAGGTAACCAAAGCAAAAATGAACAAATGGGATCACATCAAGTTAAAAAGTCTCTGCACAGCAAACGAAATAATCAACAAAGTGAAGAGATAACCCACTAAATGGGAGAAAATATTTGCAAATTACCCACGTGAAAAGGGATTAATAATCAGAATGTAGAAAGAGCTCCAAAACTCTACAGGGGGAAAAAGAGCTAGTAATTCAATTTAAAAATGGGCAAAAGGCCTGAATAGACATTCTCAAAAGAAGACATACAAATGACAAGTAGGCATAAGAAAAGGTGCTCAAATTCATTGATCATCAGAGAAATGCAGGTCAAAACTATAAAGAGATATCATCTCACCCCAGTTAAAATGGCATTTATCCAAAGGCAGGCAATAACAAACACCGGCGAGGATGTAGAGAAAAAGAACCCTCATATTCTGTTGGTGGGAATGTAAATTAGTACAACTGCTATGGGAACAGTTTTGAAGTTCCTCAAAAATCTAAAAATAGAGCTACCATATTTTATACAACAATCCCACTGCTAGGCATATACGCAAAGGAAAAAAAATCAGTATATCAAAGGCATATCTGCACACCCATGTTTACTGCAACACTATTCACCCTGGGCAAGATTTGGAAGCAACTCAAGTGCCTGTAAATAGATGAATGGATAAAGAAAAAGTGGTACTTATATACAATAAAGTACTATCCAGCCATAAAAAAAGAATGAGATCCTGTCATTTGCATCAACATGGATGAAACTAGAGGTCACTGTGTTAAGTGAAGTAAGCTAGGCACAGAAAGACAAACTTCTTACATTCTCATTTTTTGTGTGTGGGAGCTAAAAATTATACCAAACTGAACTCATGGAGACAGAGAGTAGAAGGATGGTTACCAGAGGCTACAAAGAGTAGTGTGGATGTGAAGAGGAAGTGGGGATGGTTAGTGAGTAGAAAAAAATAGTAGAAGAAAGAATAAGACCTTACATTTGGTAGTACAACAGAGGGACTATAGTCAATAATAATCTAATTGCACATTTAAAAATAACTAAAAGAGTGTAATTGGATTGTTTGTAATACAAAGGATAAATGCTTGCGGGGATGAATACCCAATTTTCCATGATATGATTATGACACATTGCATGCCTATACCAAAATATCTCATGTGACCTATAAATATATACACCTACTATGTGTCCACAAAAATAAAAAAAAAATTAAAATAATGAATAAGACACCTATATTCACTAGCACAACAGGGTGATTATAGTCAATAATAATTTAATTGTACATTTAAAAATAACTAAATGAGTATAACTGAATTGTTTATAACACAAAGGATAAATGCTTGAGGTGATGGATACACAATATACACTTTTGTGATTATTACACTTTACATGCCTGTATCAAAGGACACTTACTATATATCCACAAAAAAAAAAAAGAAAACAAAAACTTAGGTTCACATCCCTTCTGGGCCACTTACTATGTGGTCTTAATTATTCTACCTACATGGACTTGTTTCTTTATCTGTAAAACTAAGGACATCATATTAAATGACGGCTTTCTTTGCCTATAGAATCAAAACAGCTAACCAATTAAATCAGATTTGAGTAAAATGGGACTTACTGTGACTCCTGGTTTATTTAATTGGTGTCGTACATAAAAGGTATATAAAACATGTTTGCTCAGGCTGGGCACAGTGGCTCATGTATGGAATCCCAGCACTTTGGGAGGCCGAGGCAAGCAGATCACTTGAGGTCAGCAGCTCCAGACCAGCCTGTCCAACATGGTGAAACCCCATCTCTACTAAAAATACAAAAATTAGCTAAGCATTAGTGGCACATGCCTGTAATCCCAGCTACAGGGGAGGCTGAGGCTGGAGAATCACTTGAACCCAGGAGGCAGAGGTTGTGGTGAGCCGAGATCGTACCACTGCACTCCAGCCTGGGTGACAGAGCAAGACTCCATCTCAAAAAAAAAAGTTTGCTCAATAATTGGGTAGAAGGAATGGGTTGAAGAAATAACCAACAACTCTATCAAGATCAAATAGAGTGACACTAAGCAGGCTTATTATCTTGGTGAATCTTTCACATATTGCTTCTAACTGTAGAAGCTAGTGTCTCCTAATGTCAAGAGGGTTTTTTCTGTTGTTGTTGTTTCTTTTTTTAATTAATTTTATTTTTTTATTTTTTGAGACAGAGTTTCGCTCTTGTTGCCCAGGCTGGAGTGCAATGGCGCAGTCTCGGCTCACCACAAACTCTGCCTCCCAGGTTCAAGCGATTCTCCTGCCTCAACCTCCTGAGTAGCTGGGATTACAGGCATGCACCACCACGCCAGGCTAATTTTGTATTTTTAGTAGAGACAGGGTTTCTCCACGTTGGTCAGGCTGGTCTTGAACTCCTGACCTCAGGTGATCTGCTGGCCTTAGCCTCCCAAAGTGCTGGGATTACAGGCATGAGCCACTGAGCCCAGCTGTCAAGAGGTTTTATAAAGTCAAGAAATAAGGTGGCAAAGTTCTTCATTTTCCCCACACTCTTCCTATACCTGAGATGAAGCAAATATCACACTAATGCCTAAAGCCACATTTTAATACCCAAAAAGCAGTAGAACAGATCCAGAGGATGAAACAGGAGGCCAAAAGCTTATGTCAGAATGTGCTTATGGTCTCCTGGGACACTCCTCTGATTCAACAAGCTAAGAATAACATTCTATCGCAGAGACACTGCTCTGATATATACTATCTATTAAAGGCTGACAGCTTCTCTTTTAAACACACATGTAAATGTTTAGGTAACCTCTGCAGAGTATTCTGCATAGTACAAACCTGAAGAAGCCTTGGATTACAGATACTTTTTTTAGAGTGTTGCTGCCACTGCTGCTATTGTTTTTATAGGTACCATTTATAATGATGTAAAATGACTTATAGTGATGTAGTGTAACAAAGTTTACAAAGCAATCTTTCTTTTAACACAGTTAAGCACAGAGTCAAAGGACCCATGTTTGAATTTTCTTCTTTTATCACTCTATAAAGATGAAAGCATTCCACCTTGAACAGTGGAACAAGACAAGGATGACTTCTATCACCACTCTTATTCACCATAGTACTGGAATCCCTGGCCAGAGCAATCAGGCAAGAGAAAGAAATAAGAGTCATCCAAATAGGAAGAGAGGAAGTCAAACTATCCCTGTTTGCAGATAACATGATTCCATATCTAGAAAACCCAACAGCTTATGTCCAAAAGCTCCTTGGTCTGATAAACAACTTCAGCAAAGTTTGAGAATGCAAAAACAATATACAAAAATCACTGGCATTCCTATACACCAACAACATCCAAGCTGAAAGCCAAATGAGGAATGAAATCCCACTCACATTGTCACAAAAAAAGAATAAAATACATAGGAATACAGCTAACCAGCAAGGTGAAAGATCTCTACAATAAGAATTACAAAACACTGATCAAATTAGAGAAGACACAAGCAAATGGAAAAACATTCCATGCTCATGGAAAGGAGGAATCAATATGGTTAAAATGACAATACTGACCAAAGCAATTTACAGATTCAATGTTATTCCTATCAATCTAGCAATGACATTATTCACAGAATGAGAAAAACTATCTCAAAATTCATATGGAACCAAAAAAGAATCCAAATAGCCAAGGCAATCCTATGCAAAAAGAACAAAGCTGGAGGCATCACATTATCCAACTTCAAACTATATTTCAAGGCCACAGTAACCAAAACAGCACTGTACTGGTACAAAAACAGACACATAGACCAAAGGAACAGAATACAGAACCCAGAAATAATCCCTCATACTTACAGCCATCTGATCCTTGACAAACTTGACAAACATAAACAACAAGGAAAGGACTCCCTTTTCAATAAGTGGTGCTGTGATAACTGGCTAGCCATATTCAGAAGACTGAAACTGGACCCCTTCCTTACACCAAATGCAAAAATTAACACAAGATGGATCAAAGACTTAAATATAAAACCAAAACTATAAAAACCCTGGGAAATAAACTAGGAAATACCATTCTGGACACAGAACCTGACAAGGATTTCATGACAAAGATGCCAAAAGAAACTGCAACAAAACCAAAAATTAACAAGTGGTGCCTAATTAAACTAAAGAGCTTCTGCACAGCAAAAGAAACTATCAACAATCAGAGAACCTAGAGAATGGAAGAAAATACTTGTAAACTATGCATCTGACAAAAGTCTGATATCCAGAATCTATAAGGACCTTAAAGAAATTCACAAGCAAAATACAAACAACCCCATTAAAAACTGGGCAAAGGATATGAACACTTTTCAAAAGAATACATACATGCAGCCTACAAGCATATGAAAAAATGCTCAACATTACTAATCATTAGAGAAATGCAAATCAGGCCGGGTGTGGTGGCTCACGCCTGTAATCTCAGCACTTTGGGAGGCCAAGATGGGCAGATCACGAGGTCAGGAGTTCAAGATCAGCCTGGCCAACATGGTGAAACCCTGTCTCTACTAAAAATACAAAAATTAGCTGGGCGTGGTGGCACACGCCTGTAATCCAAGCTACTCAGGAGGTTGAGGCAGGAGAATTTCTTGAGCCCGGGAGATGGAGGTTGCAGTGAGCTGAGATCATGTCACTACACTCCAGCCTGGGCAACAGAGCGAGACTCTGTCTCAAAAAACAAACAAACAAACAAACCAGAGAAATGCAAATCAAAAACCACAAAGAGATACCATCTCACACCAGTCAGAATGGCTATTATTTTTAAAAATTAAAAATAACATGTTTGCAAGGTTGTGGAGAAAAAGAAATGCTTACTCACAGCAGTGGAAATGTAAGTTAGTTCAGCCATTGTGGAATGCAGTGTGGTGATTCCTCAAAGAACTTGAAACAGAGTTACCATTCAACCCAGTAATCCCATTATTGGGTATATACTCAAAGGAATATAAATCACTCCACCATAAAGACACATGTATGTTCATGGAAACACTATTCACAATAGCAAAGACATAGAATCAACCTAAATGTCCATCAATGGTAGAGTGGATAAAGAAAAGGTGGTACATATATACCAGGGAATACTACCTAGCCATAAAAAAGAATGAGATTATATCCTTTGCAACAACATGGATGGCGCTGGAGATCATTATCCTAAGCAAACTAACACAGGAACACAGAAACAGAAAACCAAATACTGCATGTTCTCGCTTATAAGTGGGGTCTAAACAACAAGAACACATGGACATAAAGAGGAGAACAATAGACACCAGAGCCCACTTGAGGGTGGAGGGTAGGAGGAGGGAGAGGATCAGAAAAAATACCTATTGGGTACTATGCTTATTATCTAGGTGATGAAATAATCTGTACACCGAACCCCTGTTACACACAGTTTACCTATATAACAAGTCTGCACGTGTACTCCTGAACCTAAAAGTTATTATAAAAAATAATAATAATAATTGTATGAACTTCAGAAAGTTACCTAAGCTCTTTTAGCCACAGTTTCTGCCAACTGTAAAACAGGGGTTAATATTACCTATCCCATAGATTTCTATAAGAATTAAATGAATAATAGATGAAATATCTATTACAGATATTGGCAAATAACTGTCCATATTTGGTGTTCAAGAAATACTCATTCTTATAATAATTATAGTGATAAATAAAACAAAGTGGAAAAGTAGAGCTGAAGTATGTAGGCTGAAGGAACAAAGCTGCAAAGGTATGGTGCTGTCAGTTCAGAATGCCAGGCCAATGAACTGGATTCTATATAGGGTCTGATTAGCAGTCTCAAGCACTGAGAACACTCCAGAAGGTAAAGAAATAAGAGGGAAACAATGTGTGCAATATACTTCTAGAATCTGTAACAAATGATTATCAAATAACTTCCATACATAAAAGGTAGGCATGGTGGCAGGGAGCAGACAATGGATACATTTATTCATTAAGGAAATATGTATTAAATTTTCACCATCAGCCACTCTGATAGATGCTAACATCATACAGCTACTAAATTCAACTCAGATCTGATTTCAAATACTCCTGCTCTTTCCACTGTATCATACTAAATCCATTCATATGGATACTTTTCTTCACCTTAGGGAAATATAAATTAAGTTTATTCCATAAACTTATCCCTAAAAACACAATTATACAACTTTAGACCTTGAAGGGTCTTAGAGCTTATTTGGCCACCAACATCCTATACAATGTTATAGGTGATGAAGCTGAGGCTCACCTAAGAGAAGTTAAGGGGCATATTTAAACTCAAAAATACATTTTAGATCTATGCCAGGGCACCTGAATTTCCAGTGTTGGTGCAACATGATGACAGAGACATTGGATAATAATACTTCATGAATCTTTGAAATTCAACCTCAGTACAAAAATAACATATAAACTGGGAAAAATAATCATTTCATCAAAATGAAGGCCAATTATGGAGATCCTCATATAAGAAATGAGCTCTTTTAAAAAGGGTTAGTTGGAAAACTCCAATAGCATTTGTCTCCAAACTAGGTTGCCTTCAATGGTACCTGTAGCAGTTGTCAAAAAAAATGGTCACATCCATGTATAGCATAATCAAATCATATGTTCTATTTCTGAAAGTTGCAGAGATTTTCAAGAACATTGCATTTTTATAGATAAAACTGATTTCTTACAGAGAAGGTAAACAATCAGCCTACTTTGTACTGTGAAAAACTTTAAGTTCTACCAAGTGAGCTGCTAGAGGCTATTCTCATGCCACATTAGGCAGAAGACAAGCATGGCTGCAATATTCTAAGTTAACAACAATGACACTAAAGAGATGATGAAATTACAGCTGTGGGGTTGGCCTTTGGACAATTAGATTTCAAGAGTGACAAAAAAAGAGAACAATGCCTATAAAAAATTTTCTCTGCTGAACACAACATGAGTTTTATGACGAAGTATTATTCAATTTTGACAAAGCAAATTTATCAGAATTCCTCTTGTGATGATTAGAAATTTGACAAAATTAGAAAAAGATATTTATTTTCAGGCAAAGCATCATGGCATCACTTCACAGTATAACATATAATTTTCTTAAAATATATATAACTTATATAGGAATCCTCCCTGCTTCACAAATGTTTCTCTAATATTTTTAGAAACAAATTTGCCTTTTGTTTAACATCTAATACAATGTATCCTGAGTAAGGTTGTTTGGGGCCTTGACATGGGTGGATTAAAGCATAGGGAGATCATAAATACATTTCATCACCAGCCTGTAGTCTCTGCCCTGGGATCAAGATGAAAAGTCTTTTCCCTGAAATAATCACATGATTACCCTTATGGTGGCCTGGCTTGAGTTACAAGCAAAACCCTTCTGTGTTCACAACCAACATGAAGCAAGTCAAACCCTTCCCTTGGTCCAGGATGGTTCAGATTATGGTCCAGGGTAGTTCAGACTATGAAAGGAAGTCAGCAGCAGCAGAAAGCTGAAAACAGAATAGATGATACCTAAATATTTGGGGGCATTAAATTTTATTAGGAATGAAAGGATTATGAACCATTCCTTATTTGTCTGTATCACTTGGCTATTCGCTGTGATTAAGAGAATCAAAATATAGCCTGGCCAAGTTAAAGGATGTATCCCCAATTTCAACAGATCCTAAAATTAGCCCACAGTCAGATAGATTTTGGGTTAGGGAATACATTACACTACAGTTGTAAGAATTATTAATATGACCAATAATTAAGCATACCCTCAAAAATATATTAAGCATATATGAACTGTATATATTAAAATAATAGATTCATAACACCACTTACTTCTTGAGTCTGTATGTATTTAAGAGAATAGAGCTTTAATACAGACTTACAGCTGTATTAAATCCCTACTCTCTCCCTTAGTATGAGTATGATTTTGAGCTTGCTTTCAGAATCCTACCCCCTAGGATTTTATAATAATTAACTAAGATAATGTATATAATGTATTGAGCAGATTATGTAGCCATTGTTGCTAGTATTATTTCAAATCTTGACAGGATTTACTCATTTTAAGATAAAGAGAAACAGGACTCTGTGTGTGTGTGTGTGTGTGTGTGTGTGTGTGTGTAACTTGATCCTTATCCAATTAAGTAGCATTGTTATGTGGAAAAAAGTTTTCTCCAAACTATTTAGGAAATAGTATTTATTAATTTATTGCAGTTATTGTACTTAAAAACATCTTATGTGCATAAACTCATGTAATCATTTATACATGCAAAAATAGACATATCAGTAAAGCTAAAAGAGTTCACCGTACCAGAAGAACCCTTAGAGATAATCTCTCTTTTCCTTCAGTTTGCACTTATATAAAAACTAAGGACCATCACCGGAATAAGTAATTTATATTTTCGTGGTTATAAGTTTTTCCAGTTACACAACTATTCAATGCCAGAGAGACTGATTTAATAAAAAAATCACCCAATCCAATTGTCTTTCCTACTAAGCATACCCAATATTTATGTCAACCCCCATTATTGGCTAACAGCCAATAAATGCAAAATTCCATACTTGTGTAAAGTATATCTCAAATGCTAAAAAAAATTTGTCAAGATATACTAACAATTAACTGAAAAATATACCTAGTCCATTTCCAACAATAAGATGTGATATATGTGTATGTGTTTGTGTGTGTGTGTAAACTGCATATGTAAGTAAACGTGTAAAGAAAGAAAATACTACTTTCTGCCTCTAAATTGGTACAGACTATTCTTTAATTTCCTCCACCAGCACATGAAAGCTTAGGACACAGGCAATAGCAAAAAGAGCCTGCCAGGAACTATTTCACTCTGTATGAAATTCTGGTCTTGGAATTTCCTTAAATCCACATTTTCTTACAAGGTCATGAAAAAGGTCATGTTTAAATATAAGATGGGCCATTATATATTTTTTCTACTTAAGTCAATATAAGTTTCTAATCCCTTTTCATGAGAACTATAAAGTTTATTTCAGCAAAAGCCTTTCTGCCCATGCTGACCATGCCGAAGCTTTTCTAAGTTGTAGCAAAACAATCACAAATGATGTGATAAAAGTTCATATCATATGAGTTGAATTATAAACAAGCACTTGATCAAATATACAAAAGGTTGTAATTCATTTAACTTAACTAAGTGCCTAGTTGGTATAAGACACCATAATAGATGCTATATAAAGAACAGTAGCAATATCTTCACTTCTTAAGTTTCTTTTAATCTTATTTTTAAAGGGTTCCTCCTATCCAAGAATGTAAAATTTGAAAGAAACATTAAGTATACCAGTCCTTATTCCAAAAAGAATATAGTTTTATCTGTAGGAAAATGAGTGCAGGTTTTCCCACAGTTATTCCTTTATACTTCATTACATCAATTAACATGAACTGACAGCTGGTACTAGGCACTGTGCTTTCATATATATTATTTCCATTAAATTTCATTAAATGCCCTTAGGTAGGAATTATTATCTTAATTTGCAAACTGATTACATTTCTAAGTGAAAGAAACCAATCTGAAAAGCCTACATGCTATATGATTCCAACTATGTGATATTCTGGAAAAGGAAAAACTATAAAGTAGAAAGATCAGTGGTTACCAGGGGCTAGAGGTTGAGAGACAGAGATAAATACATGGAGCACAGAGGATTTCAAGGGCAGTGAAAAATGCTCTGTATATAATTATAATGATGAACACATGTCATGAAACATTTGCCCAAACTCATAAACTGTACAAAATCAAGAGTTAATCCTAATGTATGATAATAATGTGTCAATGTAGGTTCATTGACACAACAAATAATACCACTTTTCTGGAGGATGTTGATAATTGGAGAGGCTATGTACATGTGGGGGTGGGGGTATGTGAGAAATCTCTTCCTTTAATTTTGCGATAACCTAAAACTGCTCTCAAAAAATAAAGTCTTTAATTAAAAAAAAAGATTATACTGAGAATTAGAAAAATTAAGTAACTTGTCATACGTCATTTAACTAGTTAGTAGTGCAGCTGAGATAAATAAAACTTTGTTAAGAAAGTGTCTCAAGGCCAGGCATGGTGGCTCATGCCTGTAATCCTAGGACTTTAGAAGATTCAAAGCTGGAGGATTCCTTGAGCTCAGGAGTTCAAGACCAGCCTGGGCAAAATAAATGAGACCTCATCTCTCTAAGCTTTTTTTAATTAGCCAGGTGATACAGTTTGGATGTTGTCCCCTCTAAATCTCATGTTGAACTATAATCTCATGTTGGAGTTGGGGCCTAGTGGGAAGTGACTGGATCATGGGGGAAGATTTCTCGTGAAAAGTTTATCACCTTCTTCTTGGTGCTGTCTTCACAATAGTGAGTGAGTTATTGCAAGATCTGGCTGTTTAAAAGTACTCGGCACCCTCCTCCCCCTTCCTCTCTATTGTTCCATGTGACATGCTTGCTCCCACTTTGCCTTCTGCCATGATTGTGAGCTTCCTGAGTCCCTCACCAGAAGCAGATGCCAACATTACACTTCCTGTACTGTCTGCAGAACCGTGAGCCAATTAAACCTTTTTTCTTTATAAATTACCCATGCTTAGATGTTTCTCCATAAGAACACAGGAATGGCCTAATACACTGGGCATGGTTGCAAGTGCCTGTAGTCCTAGCTACTTGGGAGGCTAATGTGGGAGAATTGCTTGAACCCAGGAGGTCAAGACCAGCCTGGGTGACAGAATGAGACCCTGTATCAAATAAAAAAGGGGGTGGGTCTCAAACTGAGAAATAATAGCCATTTGCTTATCAGACTACTAACTGATATTACAAGATAATTATCTTGTTATTACAATAGTCAATATCCATTAATAATACTTCATGAATGAATTTTAAAGGCTATACTCTTTTTATCTTGTTACTGCTAGTGAATTTCATCACTGACAATTGCTATTTATACATATACATATGCATACTGAACCCTATCTAAGAGACAATAGGGCATAATATAGTTAAGTACACAATAGAAGAAGATGGCCTAACTTCCAATCTCAGGTATGCCACTACCAACTGTTTGACCTTGGAAAAGGTACTTAACTGCACTGTACCTCAGTTTCTCCATCTGTAAAATAACAATAATAATAGTACTTACTTCCCTATGCCTTATGGGTGTTATAAAGAATAAATAATATTTGTAATTTTTGAAGTATCTGGCATATGGTAAGAGTTATGTAAGAGCTTGTTAAATATATACATTCATACACACACACACATATACATACCCACATATATACATAAGTATATTATATGTTTCTTTGCAAGTAAAGGAGATAGAGGGTTAGAAATGGGTTGCTATTTTAAATAGGGTGGTCAGAAAAGATCTCCTTTGAGGGTGATTTGAGTAGAAACCTGAAGAAAGTAAGGGGACGTAAGCCATGTGGATAACTGAAGAAAATGTGTTCCAAGAAGAAGGAACAGCAAAAGCATATATCCTGAGGTGAGAGTGTTCAGCACAGTCAGTAAAGACAAGGACACCAGTATGGTCTGAACAGAGTTAGCAATGAAGACAGAAGTGGGTATTGGAGAGGTAGGGGATCATGAAGGACCTTAAGGATCAGTGTAAAAACTTAGGTTTTTAGTCTAAAGCAGATGAGATGTAATCAGAAGATTTTGAGATGACATATATTTTTAAAGAATCACTCTGGCTACTACCTGAAAAACTAACTGTAGGGGTAGAAAAGTGGAAGCAAGGAAAACATCAGGACTCATTCATCAGGATTTACATTTGCTAATGAATCTGATATAGATTGCTAGAGAAAGAGAGGATTTAAGAATAACTTCAAGGTTTCTGGCTTGAAGAGCATGAAGAATTGAGCTTTTGTCTATTGAGAAACAGATTTGAAAGGGGAGAAAATCAAAAGTTTATGTCTGGGCATATATGTTTGGGAAGCCTATTAGATATCCAAGTAAAGATATTAAGTTGAGAGTTTCATACACAAGTATGGAATTCAGTAGAGATGTCGAGGCTTAAGGTATAAAGGTGGGAGCCATCCACATTTAGATAATACTTAAAGGAACTAAACTGAATAAGATGACATAGGGAACCAGTAGATAGGAAAATTTTCTAGAGTACTAAATCCTGAGGTATTTCAAAGGTTTAAGGTTCAGGAAAATGAGAAACAAACAAGTGAAACATCAACAACAACAACAATGAGTTAGGAGGAGAGCCAAGAGAGTGGTCTCAGAAGCTAAGAGATGAAACAGTTTCAAAAAGGTAGAGGACATAATCAACTGTGTCAAATCCTGCCAAGGTCAAGAAAATGAAGAATGAGAAAAACTGACTATTGCATTTGGTAAACTGGAGGTCACTGATGACCTTGACAAGAGCTTCAGTGGAGTAGTGGGCAATGAAAGCCTGATTGGAGCAGGTTCAAAAGAGAAAGGAGGACAAGTGGTAATATCAAGTACAGTAAACTCTTTTGGGGGAAGTTTTGCTGTAAAGGAGAATAGAGAAATGGAGCAAATGATGGAAGAGTATGTTAGAAGGAGAGGCGTCAGGTGGTATAATCCAATATCAGAACCTTGAAAGATAAATTTTTATGGGAAGGAGTTTAGAACAATTATCTGGAAGTGACAATGAGATGAATGAAGAATAAAAAAAAAAAGAAAAAGAAAAAAGAAAGAAAACCGCGCCAGGCACGGTGGCTCACGCCTGTAATCCCAGCACTTTGGGAGGCCGAGGCGGGCAGATTGCCTGAGCTCAGGGGTTTGAGACCAGCCTAGGCAACACGGTGAAAACCCGTCTTTACTAAAATACAAAAAATTAGCCGGGCACGGCGGCATGCGTCTGTAGTCCCAGCTACTCAGGAGGCTGAGACAGAAGAATTGCTTGAACCTAGGAGATGGAGGTTGCAGTGAGCTGCGATCATGCCACTTCCCTCCAGGCTGGGCAACAGAGCGAGACTCCATCTCAAAAAAACAAAAAAGAAAACCAACCTTTTGAATGTAGGGGAAACTTTTCAAAGGATATCTAGTTTTCAATTACAGTAAACTTGTGGAAGGGAGGTTCAGAGTTGAGATTGAGATTATAGATTTTGCTGATGATAAACCATGAGTTCCAGAGGACATAGTAGACTATTCTGGGCAGTTATACAGGGGTGGATGGAATGTGGGAGTGGGGTTGTATAGTGCCATAAAGAAATGAGAGTCCGGATTAAAAATAATGAGCTGGACTCGCGAGCCTTTTGTAACTGAAATAAATAGAAAAATAAGAAATACATTATTTCTGTGATTGTTGAGAGGAAGAAATGGTGGAAATCTTGTGAGAAGCACACTGAGCTCTAGCACCACCTCTTCACTCCTACAGATGGTGGAATAAACGGCAGGCAAGTTCAAAATCACATATAGTCATTATTGCAAGATAGTTCTATGGATATAGATACTACATACAATATAAATCATGCTCATTGAATGGTTCAGTGGAAACTACTCTGAACTTCAAATCAACAAACTTGGGACATCACCAAGATAGCAAAATAGAAGGTAACCCCACTGTCAGTCTAAAGTCTTTTTATGGGAGCCACAGGATTGAGGCAGGATTTTGTGAAACCCCTAGTGGAGCCCAAAACCTAGGAGGGTCATTTTCAGAGTGTAAACTGATGCCCAGGTGGCTGATCTGCCCCACAGAGTGTGCTTGCTGGTTCAAGCCTGGAAAAGTCCCAGTCCCCTAAGAGGCTTGGCTACAGTCCCATTTGGCCTTGAGCCTGCAACCAAAACCATCTGCCACGGGGTCCAAAAGGAATCACACACAATAGTGCACTGGTGAAAAGGCTCACCTACCCCCTTACATTGGTCTTGGCAGTGAATCTTAAAGTTGCCTGTGCTTTGGCTCCAGCCTTCCTCACCTGAGGTCCCAGCTCACAACTGCTTGCACAGGGACCTGTATTTTACAGCCCAGGAGTATGAGATTCCCTGACTGGCATGCCAACTTCTGTCACAGCAGATCCTGAGGGGCTAAGTCTCAGCTTTGGTTCTTCTTGCTGTGGTTGAGGAACTATTCCATCTGCGCTAAGACCTGCTACAACACATGTATCTGTATGGACTAAAGAGATGGGCTCCCCAGCCTCTGTCCCACAGGAGATCCCAAGAGGGCCCAGTCCCAGATCCAGCTCCCCTGCTATAATGAGAAAACTATCCCATCTGTGCAGGGACTTGCGAGGAGACATGCCTCTCAAAGTCAACAAGACCAGGTTCTCTAGCCTATATCCCACAGCAAATCCTGAGAGGGATTAGTCTCAGCTCCAGTCCCTTCCACTGCAGTTGGGGAGCTATCCCATCTGTGATCTGATGGTTACTGTAAGAAAAAGTATCTGGACAGTTATAGGAAGGCTTCTCTGAGAACGCAGTAATAAGAAACAGTAATAACAACATCTAATATTTTATAGTATGTAACATTACCAAACATTATTCAAAGTGTTTTATAAATTTAGCTCATTTAATCTTCGCAACAACCCTATGAGCTACATATTCCCATTTTATCAGAAACTGGAGTACAGATTGATTAAGTAATTTGTTCTTGTCTCACAGGAACTACGTGTAAGAGCTGGGCTTAAAACCTAAGCAACCTGGAAAAAATACCTATATCCTAGACCATTATGCTACCCTAACAGTTTGCTAAATGTCTTAGTTTATCTTCTTCTGCTATAACAGAATACCACAGACTAGGTAGTTTATAAGAAAAAAAAACACCTTATTTGGCTCAACAGTTCTGTAGGCTGCAAAGTCCAAGAACATGCCACATCTGGTGAGGATAATTCCACAACAAAAGGCAGAAGGGCAAGAGAACATGTGAAATAGAGGGAAACAAAGAACCAAAATCCCACAATAACTAATTCACTCCACAATAACAGCATTAAATGATTCATGAGGACAGAACTTTCATGACTAATCACCTCTTAATGGTCCCCGCTCTTAACACTGTTATAACGACAATTAAATTTCAACATGAGTTTTAAAGGGGACATTCAAACCATAGCATTCATCTGCTGGCACCCCAAATCTCATTTCCTTTGCACATACAAAATACATTTATTCTGTCTCAATAGCCCCAAAGTCTTAACCAGTTCAAGCACAAACTCAAAAGTCCATGGTCTAAAGTCTCATAGAAATCAAATATGGGTGAGACTCAAGGCATGATTCTTCCTGAGGCAAATTCCCTCTAACTGTGAGCCTGTCAAATCGAAGCAAGTTATCTACTTACAAAATACAATGGTGGAAAAGGCATAGGATAGACATTCCCATTCCAAAAATGAAAGACAGGCAAGAATAAAAGGGTAACAATGTCCATGTAGGAACAAAACTCAACAGGGCAAACAACATTAAATTTTAAAGCTGAAGAATAACCTCCATTGACTACATGCCCCACATCCAGGGCACACTGGTGTGGATATTGGGCCCCCAAGGCCTCAGGCAGTCCTGCCCCTATGGCGTTGCTGGGCTCAGCCCACACGTCAGTGCTCTTGGATTAGAGCCTCATGCCTGCAGCTCTCTCATGCTTGAGTTGGATGCTGGTGGCCCTACAGTTCTGTGATCTTGAGGATGGCCCCATACCATGGTTTCACTAGGCTTTACACTGATAAGTACTGTCTGTGACAGCTCTGCACCTGCAGCAGGTTGCTGCCTGGGCAACTAGGCTATTTGCAACATCCTTGGATATAGAGGTAGACAGAGCTACACTCTCCATAGCTTAACATCACATGGATGACACCAAGGTTTATGGCATGTACCTTCTAGAGCAGTGTATTGAGCCACACCTGTGCCTACTTGAGCCACAACTAGGACAGCTGGAAAGCACTGTGCCAGAATGCAAGAAGTAGACTCTCAAGGAGGCCCTGGCAGCAAGCCCATGGAGGGTGCCCCAGGCCCATCCCTAAAAACAATTCTTCCCTCCTAGAGCTCTGGACCTGTAATGGAAGGAGCATCCTTAAGGGTCTTTGAAATGCCTTCAAGGTCTTTCTCCCATTGTCTATATGAATAGCACCTGGCTCTCTTCTAGCCATGGTAATCTCTTTAGCAAAGTATTTCCTGGCCACACCATTGTTTCACTCTCCTAAAGACTCCTTATCATTCTACTTTGCCAGGCTGTGAATTTTCCAAATCTTTCCAATCTGCTTCCCTTTTGATTATAAATTGTGTCTTTGTCTCATTTATTTCCTCTCACATCTCTCTGTATGTGGTTAAAAGCAGCCATTTTAAAAGTTTAAATGCTTTGTTGCTTAGATATTTCTTCCACCAGATATCCTTGTTCATCACTCCTAAGTTCTGCATTCCACAAAGCCAAGAGGAAGTGAAACAATTCAACCAAAGTCTTTGCAACTTTATAATGAGGATGGTCTTTACTCCAGTTTCCAATACCTTTTCCTTACTTCTGTCTGAACTTCATCAGAATAGCCTTTGCTGTCTATATATCTACCAAAATTCTGCTCACAACCACTTAAGTAATCTCTTGGAAAATTCAGAATTTCCATATAGATCTCTTGAGCCCTCACCAGAATCACCCTTACTGCTTCTTTTATGGCAATACAGGATTCTTCTAGCCTACTCCTCCAAGTTCTTTGAGCCTCTATCTATTACGCAGATCCAAAGCCACTCCCACATATTCATATATTTGTGATGACAACAGCCTGAGATTCCTGTACCAATTTTCTGTCTTAATTCATTTTCTGCTGCTATAACAAAATACCACAGACTGGGTGATTTATAAAGAAAAAGGTTATTTGGCTCACAGTTCTGAAGCCTAGGAAGTCTAAGAGCAAAGTGTCATATCTGAGGAGGGTGATACCATGGTGGAAGACAGAAGAGCAAAAGGGCCCATAAGAGAGAGAAAAGGGGGGCTGAACTCTCATGTAACTAACCCACTCCCACAATAATGGCATTAATCCCTTCATGACCTAATCACCTCTTAAAGGTCTCACCTCTCAAAAATATTACAATAGCAATTAAATTTAAACATAAATTTTAAAGGAGATAATCAAACCATAACACTGAATAAAGATAATTAAAAGAGGCTACTTAGGACAATTTTAAGTAAAAATTATCGGGCAGTTCCAAGATGACCAAACAGGAACAGCTCCAGCCTACAGCTCCCAGCGTGAGCAACGCAGAAGACAGGTGATTTCTGCATTTCCAACGGAGGTACTGGGTTCATCTCACTGGGGCATGTTGGACAGTGGGTGCAGGACAGTGGGTGCAGCCCACCGAGTGACAGCCGAAGCAGGGTGAGGCATTGCCTCACCCAGGAAGTGCAAGGGGTCAGGGAATTCCCTTTCTTAGCCAAGGGAAGCCATGACAGACAGCAGCTGGAAAACTGGGTCACTCCCACCCTAATACTGTGCTTTTCCAATGGTCTTAACAAACGGCACACCAAGAGATTATATCCCGCGCCTGGCTTGGAGGGTCCCACGCCCACCGGGCCTCGCTCATTGCTAGCACAGCAGTCTGAGATCAAACTGCAAGGGGGCAGTGAGGCTGGGGAAGGGGCACCCGCCATTGCTGAGGCTTGAGTAGGTAAACAAAGCGGCCCACAAGCTCGAACTGGGTGGAGCCCACTGCAGCTCAAGGACCCCTGACTGCCTTTGTAGACGCCACCTCTTGGGGCAAGGGCATAGCCGAACAAAAGGCAGCAGAAACCTCTGCAGATTTAAATGTCCCTGTCTGAGAGCTTTGAAGAGAGTAGTGGTTCTCCCAGCAAGGAGTCTGAGATCTGAGAACGGACAGGCTGCCTCCTCAAGTGGGTCCCTGACCCTGAGGAGCCTAACTGGGAGACACCCCCTAATAGGGGCAGACTGACACCTCACACGGCCAGGTACTCCTCTGAGACGAAGCTTCCAGAGGAATGATCAGGCAGCAACATTTACTGTTCAGCAATATTCACTGTTCTACAGCCTCCGCTGCTGATACCCAGGCAAACAGGGTCTGGAGTGGACCTCCAGCAAACTCCAACAGACCTTCAGCTGAGGGACCTGATTGTTAGAAGGAAAACTAACAAACAGAAAGGACATCCACACCAAAACCCCATCTGTACGTCACCATCATCAAAGACCAAAGGTAGATAAAACCACAAAGATGGGGAAAAAACAGAGCAGAAAAGCTGAAAATTCTAAAAATCTGAGCGCCCCTCCCCTTCAAAAGGAACACAGCTCCTCGCCAGCAACGGAACAAAGCTGGATGGAGAATGACTTTGATGAGTTGAGAGAAGAGGGCTTCAGACAATCAAAGTTCTCCAAGCTAAAGGAGGAAGTTCGAACCCATCACAAAGAAGCTAAAAACCTTGAAAAAAGATTAGATGAATGACTAACTACAATAACCAGTGTAGAGAAGTCCTTAAATGATCTGATGGAGCTGAAAACCATGGCACAAGAACTACGTGATGAATGCACAAGCTTCAGTAACCAATTCGATCAACTCAAAGAAAGGGTATCAGTGATTGAAGATCAAATGAATGAAATGAAGTGACAAGGGAAGTCTAGAGAAAAAAGAGTAAAAAGAAAAGAACAAAGCCTCCAAGAAATATGTGACTTTGTGAAAACACCAAATCTACGTCTGATTGGTATACCTGAAAGTGACGGGGAGAATGGAACCAAGTTGGAAAACACTCTGCAGGATATTATCCAGGAGAACTTCCCCAACCTAGCAAGGCAGGCCAACATTCACATTCAGGAAATACAGAGAACGCCACAAAGATACTCCTTGAGAAGAGCAACTCCAGGACACATAATTATCAGATTCACCAAAGTTGAAATGAAGGAAAAAATGTTAAGGGCAGCCAGAGAGAAAGGTCAGGTTACCCACAAAGGGAAGCCCATCAGACTAACAGCGGATCTCTCGGCAGAAACCCTACAAGCCAGAAGAGAGTGGGGGCCAATATTCAACATTCTTAAAGAAAAGAATTTTCAACCTAGAATTTTTATCCACCCAAACTAAGCTTCATAAAAGTGAAGGAGAAATAAAATCCTTTACAGACAAGCAAATGCTGAGAGATTTTGTCACCACCAGGCCTGCCCAACAAGAGCTCCTGAAAGAAGCACTAAACATGCAAAGGAACAACCGGTACCAGCCACTGCAAAATCATGCCAAATTATAAACACCATTGATGCTAGGAAGAAATTGCATCAACTAAGGAGCAAAATAACCAGCTAACATCATCATGACAGGATCAAATTCACACATAACAATATTAACCTTAAATGTAAATGGAATAAATGCTCCACTTAAAAGACACAGACTGGCAAATTGGATAAACACTCAAGATCCATCAGTGTGCTGTATTCAGGAAACCCATCTCGTGTGCAGACACACATAGGCTCAAAATAAAAGGATGGAGGAAGATCTACCAAGCAAATGGAAAACAAAAAAAGGCAGGGTTTGCAATCCTACTGTCCGATAAAACAGACTTTAAACCAACAAAGATCAAAAGAGACAAAGAAGGCCATTACATAATGGTAAAGGGATCAATTCAACAAGAAGAGCTAACTATCCTAAATATATATGTGCCCATTACAGGAGCACCAAGATTCATAAAGCAAGTCCTTAGAGACCTACAAAGAGACTTAGACTCCCACACAATAATAATGGGAGACTTTAACACCCCACTGTCAACAACAGACAGATCAATGAGACAGAAAGTTAACAAGGATACTCAGGAATTAAACTCAGCTCTGCACCAAGCAGACCTAATAGACATCTACAGAACTCTCCACCACAAATCAACAGAATATACATTCTTCTCAGCACCACACCACACCTATTCCAAAATTGACCACATAGTTGGAAGTAAAGCACTCCTCAGCAAATGCAAAACAACAGAAATTATAACAAACTCTCTCTCAGACCACAGTGCAATCAAACTAGAACTCAGGATTAAGAAACTCACTCAAAACAGCTCAACTACCTAGAAACTGAACAACCTGCTCCTGAATGACTACTGGGTACATAACGAAATGAAGGCAGAAATAAAGATGTTCTTTGAAACCAATGAGAACAAAGACACAACATACCAGAATCTCTGGGACACATTTAAAGGAGTGTGTAGAGGGTAATTTATAGCACGAAATGCCAACAAGAGAAAGCAAGAAAGATCTAAAATTGACATCCTAACATCACAATTGAAAGAATTAGAGAAGCAAGAGCAAACACATTCAAAAGCTAGCAGAGGGCAAGAAATAACTAAGATCAGAGCAGCACTGAAGGAGATAGAGACACAAAAAAAACCTCCAAAAAATTAATGAATCCAGGAGCTGGTTTTTTGAAAAGATCAACAAAAGTGATAGACCGCTAGCAAGACTAATAAAGAAGAAAAGAGAGAAGAATCAAATAGACGCAACAAAAAATGATAAAGGGGATATCACCACCGATCCCACAGAAATACAAACTACCATCAGAGAATACTATAAACACCTCTACGCAAATAAACTAGAAAATCTAGAAGAAATGGATAAATTCCTCGACACATACACCCTCCCAAGACTAAACCAGGAAGAAGTTGAATCCCTGAATAGACCAATAACAGCCTCTGAAATTGAGACAATAATTAATAGCCTACCAACCAAAAAAAGTCCAGGACCAGATGGATTCACAGCCGAATTCTACCAGAGGTACAAAAAGGAGCTGGTACCATTCCTTCTGAAACTATTCCAAACAATAGAAAAAGAGGGAATACTCCCTAACTCATTTTATGAGGCCAACATCATCCTGATACCAAAGACTGGCAGAGACACAAAAAAAGAGAATTATAGACCAATATCCTTGATGAACATCGATGCAAAAATCCTCAATAAAATACTGGCAAACCAAATCCAGCAGCACCTCAAAAAGCTTATCCACCAGGATCAAGTGGGCTTCATCCCTGGGATGCAAGGCTGGTTCAACATACAAAAATCAATAAACATAATCCAGCATATAAACAGAACCAAAGACAAAAACCACATGATTATCTCAATAGATGCAGAAAAGGCCTTTGACAAAATTCAACATCCCTTCATGCTAAAAAACTCTCAATAAATTCGGTATTGATGGGACATATCTCAAAATAATAAGAGCTATCTATGACAAACCCACAGCCAATATCATACTCAATGGACAAAAACTGGAAGCATTCCCTTTGAAAACTGGCACAAGACAGGGACGACCTCTCTCACCACTCCTATTCAACATAGTGTTGGAAGTTCTGGCCAGGGCAATCAGGCAGGAGAAAGAAATAAAGGGGATTCAATTAGGAAAACAGGAAGTCACATTGGCCCTGTTTGCAGATGACATAATTGTACATTTAGAAAACCTCATCATCTCAGCCCAAAATCTCCTTAAGCTGATAAGCAACTTCAGCAGCAAAGTCTCAAGATACAAAATCAATGTGCAAAAATCACAAGCATTCTTATACACCAATAACAGACAAACAGAGAGCCAAATCATGAATGAACTCCCATTCACAATTGCTTCAAAGAGAATAAAATACCTAGGAATCCAACTTACAAGGGATGTGAAGGAACTCTTCAAGGAGAACTACAAACCACTGGTCAAGGAAATAAAAGAGGATACAAACAAATGGAAGAACATTCCATGCTCATGGGTAGGAAGAATCAATATCGTGAAAATGGCCATACTGCCCAAGGTAATTTACAGATTCAATGCCATCCCCATCAAGCTACCAATGACTTTCTTCACAGAATTGGAAAAAACTACTTTAAAGTTCATATGGAACCAAAAAAGAGCCCGCATTGCCAAGACAATCCTAAGCCAAAAGAACAAAGCTGGAGGCATCACGCTACCTGACTTCAAACTATACTACAAGGCTACAGTAACCAAAACAGCATGGTAGTGGTACCAAAACAGAGATATAGATCAATGGAACAGAACAGAGTCCTCAGAAATAATACCACACATCTACAACTATCTGATCTTTGACAAACCTGACAAAAACAAGAAATGGGGAAAGGATTCCCTATTTAATAAATGGTGCTGGGAAAACTGGCTAGCCATATGTAGAAAGCTGAAACTGGATCCCTTCCTTACACCTTACACAAAAATTAATTCAAGATGGATTAAAGACTTACATGTTAGACCTAAAACCATAAAAACCCTAGAAGAAGACCTAGGCAATACCATTCAGGACATAGGCATGGGCAAGGACTTCATGTCTAAAACACCAAAAGCAATGGCAACAAAAGCCAAAATTGACAAATGGGATCTAATTAAACTAAAGAGCTTCTGCACAGCAAAAGAAACTACCATCAGAGTAAACAGGCCACCTACAGAATGGGAGAAAATTTTTGCAATCTACTCATCTGACAAAGGGCTAATATCCAGAATCTATAAAGAACTCGAACAAATTTACAAGAAAAGAAATAAACAACCCCATCAAAAAGTGGGCAAAGGATATGAACAGACACTTCTCAAAAGAAAACATTTATGCAGCCAACAGACACATGAAAAAATGCTCATCATCACTGGCCATCACAGAAATGCAAATCAAAACCACAGTGAGATACCATCTCACACCAGTTAGAATGGCGATCATTAAAAAGTCAGGAAACAACAGGTGCTGGAGAGGATGTGGAGAAATAGGAACACTTTTACACTCTTGGTGGGACTGTAAATTAGTTCAACCATTGTGGAAGACAGTGTGGCAATTCCTCAAGGATCTAGAACTAGAAATACCATTTGACCCAGCCATCCCATTACTGGGTATATACCCAAAGGACTACAAATCATGCTGCTATAAAGACACATGCACACGTATGTTTATTGCAGCACTATTCACAATAGCAAAGACTTGGAACGAATCCACTGTCCATCAATGAAAGACTGGATTAAGAAAATGTGGCACACATACACCATGGAATACTATGCAGCCATAAAAAAGGATGAGGTCATGTCCTTTGTAGGGACATGGATGAAGCCGGAAACTATCATTCTCAGCAAACTATCGCAAGGACAGAAAACCGAACACCGCACGTTCTCACTCATAGTCGGGAACTGAACAATGAGAACACTTGGACACAGGAAGTGGAACATCACACACCAGGGCCTGTCGTGGGGTGGGAGTATGGGGGAGGGACAGCATTAGGAGATATACCTAACGTAAATGATGAGTTAATGGGTGCAGCACACCAACATGGCACATGTATACATATGTAACAAACCTGCACGTTGTGCACATGTACCCTAGAACTCAAAGTATAACTTTTAAAAAAAAGAAAAAAAAACAAACAAACAATTCTAATTGGGTTAAACAAATTAAAAAAGGGTCTTAGAAAAAAAATTGTCTTCAATATCCTAAAACTCACTAAGAGCAATGCAATTCAATATATCAAACGAAAATTTATATTCATAATTTTAAATTTTAACCATCAATGCAAATATATCTAAGTATTAGGGTTCTCCAGAAGGACACAACTAATAGGATATATGTATATTTGAAAGGGAGTTTATTAGGATCAAAGGCTCACACGATCACAAGGCAAAGTCCCACAATAGGCCATCTGCAAGCTGAAGAAGAAAAAAGCCAGTAGTGGCTCAGTCCAAGTCCAAAAGCCTCAAAAGTAGTGAAGCCAACAGAGCACCCTTCAGTCTGTGGCTGAAGGCCAGAGAGCCCCCAGAAAACCACTAGCGTTAAGTCCAAGAGTCCAAAAGTCGAAGAAGCTGGAATCTGATGTCCAAGGGCAGGAGAAAAAGAAGGAAGCATCCAGCATGGGAAAAAGATGAAAGCCAGAAGACTAAGCAAGCCAGCATATCCCACCTTATTCTGCCTACTTTGCTCTGGCGGCGCTGGCAGCCGATTGGATGGTGCCCACCCACAGTGAGGGTGGGTCCTCTCCCTCCTCCCAGTCCACTGACTCAAATATCAATATCCTCTGGCAACACCCTCACTAATACAACCAAAAAAATACTTTACCAGCTATCCAGGCATCCTTCAATCCAATCACATTGACACCTAATATTAACCATCACCATCTTGTTTTCTAAGAAATGAAAATTTTCTACCAAGTTAAAGGGAGAAATAAACACATAAAAGAATTTGTGCTTTCTGCATTTATTGAGAAAATCATGTTTTTGTCTTTTGTGGTTTTGTTTTTGTTTATGTGATGAGTCACATTTATTGATTTGCCTATAGTGAACCAAGAATCCTGGGGATAAAGCCTACTTGATCACTGTGTATAAGCTTTTTCATGTTCTGCTGGATTCAGTTTGCCAATATTTTGTCGAGGATTTTTACTCTCAATAAACTAGGTATTGAAGGAACATAGCTCAAAATAATAAGAGCCATATATAACAAACCCACAGCTAACATCATACTGAATGGGAAAAAGCTGGAAGTATTCCCCTTAAAAACAATCAAAAGACAAGGATGCCCTCTCTCACCACTCCAATTCAACATCGTATTTGAAGTCCTCGCCAGGGCAATCGGGAGAGAGAAAGAAATAAAGGTATCCAAATTGGAAGAGAGGAAGTCAAAGTATCCCTGCTTGCAGACGACATTATCCCATATCTGGAAAACACCATCATCTCAGCCCAAAAGCTTCTTAAGCTCATAAACAACTTCAGCAAAATCTTACAATATTTTATATACAAAATCAATGTGCAGAAATTGCTAGCATTCCTACAAACCAACAACAGCCAAGCCAAGAGCCAAATCAGGAACAAACTCACATTAACAATTGCCACAAAAAGAGTAAAATACCTAGGAATACAACTAACTAGGGAGGTAAAAAATCTCTACAAGGAGAACTACAAACCACTGCTCAAAGAAATTAGAGATGACACACACAAATGGAAAAGCATTACATGCTCATGGATAGGAAGAATCAATATTTTTAAAATGGCAATACTGCCCAAAGCAATTTATAGATTTGATGCTATTCCTATTAAATTAGCATTGAGATTCTTCACAGGTGAACTAGAAAAAAAACTTTTTAAAATTCTTAGGGAACCAAAAAAAGAGCTCGAATAGCCAAGACAATCCTAAGCAAAAACAACAAAGCTGGAGGCATCACGCTACTCGACTTCAAACAATCCTACAGAGCTACAGTTACCAAAACAGCATGTATTGGTACAAAAACAGACACATAGTCCAATGGAACAAAATAGAAACCAAGAAATAAGACTGCAAACAAACAACTATCTGATCTTTGACAAACCTGACAAAAACAAGCAATGGGGAAAGGACACCCTGTTCAATAAATGGTGCCGGGATAACTGGTTAGCCATATGCAGAAGGCTGAAACTGGATCCCTTCCTTTTACCAAATACAAAAACCAACTCAAGATGAATTAAAGACTTAAATGTAAAACCTAAAACTATAAAATCCCTAGAAGAAAACCTAGGAAATACCATTTTAAACAAATGCCCTGGCAAAGATTTGATGATGAAGATGTGATGATGGTGACAAAATAAAAAAAAAATAAGTGTGACCTAAGTAAACTAAAGAGCTTCTGCACAGCAAAAGAAACGATCAACAGAGTAATCAGAAAACCTACAGAATGGGAGAAAAATTTTGCAAACTATGCATTTGACTAAGGTCTAATATCAAGAATCTATAAGGAACTTAAACAAACATATAAGAAAAAACAAAATAACCCCATTAAAAAGTGGGCAAGGGACATGAACAGACACTTCTCAAAAGAACACATACAAGTGAACACAATTATATGAAAAAAAAGCTAAACATCCCTGTTCACTGGAAAAATGCAAATCAAAACCACAATGAGATACCATTTCACACCAGTCAGAATAGCTATTATTAAAAAGTCATAAAAATAACTGATGCTGGCAAGGTTGTGGAGGAAAAAAAGAATGATTCTACAATGTTGGGGGAAGTGTAACTTAGTTCAACCATTGTAGAAGACAGTGTGGTGATTCCTCGAAGACCTAAAGACAGAACTACCATTCAACCCAGCAATCCCATTACTAGAGTATATACCCAAACGAATATAAATTGTTCTATTATATAGACACATGCGTGTGTATGTTAATTGCAGCACTATTCACAATAGCAAAGACATGGAATCTTCCCAAATGTCCATCAATGATAGACTGGATAAAGAAAATGTGGTACATATATACAATGGAATACTATGCATGCAGGGACAGGGTTGGAGCTGGGGGCCATTATCCTTAGCAAACTAACACAGGAACAAAAAACCAAATACTGCATGTTCTCACTTACAATTGGGAGTTAAATGATGAGAACACATTGACACATAGAGGGGAACAACACACACTGGGGCCTTCTGGAGGATGGAGAGTGGGAGGAGGGAGAGGATCAGGAAAAATAACTAACGGGTGCTGGCTTAATACATGGGTGATGAAATAATCTGTACAACAAACCCCTATGACATGTTTACATATGTAACAAACCTGCACACATACCCCTGAACTTAAAAGTTTAAAAAAAGAATGGGTGTTACCTAATCCAAATATAAAATAAAAAGTTTTATTTGGATTTATTTATTTATTTATTTATTTATTTGATTGATTAGGTTCACAAATATTTATTTAGCATTTACTATCTAGAAGGCATACTGCTGGTCACTGCATAGGTGTATGAATAATATCTAAGTTTTATAGTGCTTGCTATATGCCAGGCATCATGCTAGTATTTCAATTAAGATGATAAACTATCCAATTTAATCCTCATATCTCCCACAACAATAAGGTAATTGCTATTATTATTTACACTGTAACAGAAAAAATAGAGAAACTGAGAATAATGCCCTCAAAATAGTAGGGGAGGAGGAGCAAGATGGCTGAAGAGGAGCTTCCACCAATCGTCCTCCTCATGGGAACACCAAAATTGACACAGCAACTGGGGGATACTGCATTGGAATGCACTGGAATGCAGTGCTGCCACCACTGAATAAAGTACTCTGGGGTCCTAAATAAACTTGAAAGGCTGTCTAGGCCACAAGGATGGTAACTCCTACTGCTGTGCTGGGCTAAGAGCCAGTAAATGGGAAGAAGAGGAGCCAGGTAACCTAGTGCCCAGTGAAACACCAGCGAGGTGGCTAAGGGAGTGCTTACATCACCTCTTCTCTAATCCAAAGCAGTGTGGCTTGTAGCTCATGGGGTGACTCCATCCTTTCACTTGAGAAAAGGAAAAACAGGATTGGAGAGGACTTTGTCTTGCAACTTGGATGTCAACTTAGCTACAGTGGGATAGGGCACCTGGCAGAGTCACGGGGCCCTCATTCCAGGCACTAGCTCCTGGATGACATTTCTGGACATGCCCTAGGCTGAAGAAGAGCCTTATTTCTTAAAGGAAAGGACCTGGTCCTGACAGGATTCGCCACGTGCTGACTGAAGAGCCGTTGAGCCCTGAATAATCATCAGCAACAACCAGGTGGTACAGGCTGTGGGTCTTGAGTGATAGTATGAGACATGCTGGCTTCATTCACAGCCATCATGGCTACAGGGAGTGGTCCCTTCTCCTTGAGAAAAGCAAGGGGAGAAATGAAGGGGACTTTGTCTTGAGCTTGGGTGTCAGCTTGGCCAAAGAGGGACAGGGCATCAGGTGGACTCGTGAGGTCTCTGATTCGGGCCATTGCTCTTGGACAGCATCTCTGGACATGCCCTGGGCCAAAGAGGAGCCCACTGCAATGAAACATGAGCCCTACACCTGGCAAAATATACCACAAGCTGGCTGAAGAGCCCTTGGATCTGAAGTGAAATTGGCAGTGCCCTGGCGGTGCTCCCCGTGGGCAGGTGGTAGTGGTGAACACAAGGAGATTCCTCTGCCTGGGGAGTTGGTGAGGGAAGAGTGGGAAGAACTTTGTCTTGTGTCTTGGATGCCAGCTCAGCCACAGTAGAATAAAGTGCCAGGTAGATTCCTAAAGTTTCTGAATCCAGGTCCTGGTTCCCAGATAGCATCTTTGGATCCACCTGGAGCACAGGAGAACTTGCCACCCTGAAGGAAGCTACACAAGCCTGTCTGGCTTTGCCACCTGCTGACTGTACAGCCCCCAGGCCTTGAGCAAACATAGGTGGTAGCCAAGTGGTGGTTACAGTTGACCTCGAGCAAGACTCAGGGCTATGCTGGCTTCAGGTCTAACCCAGTGCAGTCCCAAAGGTGCTGGCCACAGAGGTACTTGTGTCACCCCTCCTCCAGCTCCAGACAGTTCAAAAGAGAAAGAGACGTTCTGCTTATTTTAGAGAAAGTAAGAGAAAAGAACAAGAGTCTCTGCCTGGTAATCCAGAGAATTCTTCCAGATTTTATTCAAGGCCACCAAAGTGGTGCACCTATGAGTCTGCAAGAACCAGATCATTACTAGGCTTGGGGTACCCTTAATGCAGAAACAGCTGCAGTGACCGAAAACTTAGATCACAATACCCAAGTCCCTTTGAATACCTGAAAAGCCTTCCCAAAAAGGAGGAGTACAAATAAGCCAAGATTGTGAAGACAACAAAAAATATGTAACTCTTCAATGCCCAGACACCATCAAACATCCACAACATTAAAACCATCCAGGAAAACAGGACCTCATCAAAT
Source organism: Homo sapiens (assembly GCF_000001405.40). Classification (NCBI taxonomy): domain Eukaryota; kingdom Metazoa; phylum Chordata; class Mammalia; order Primates; family Hominidae; genus Homo; species Homo sapiens. The sequence continues at coordinate 49,926,541 of NC_000001.11, forward strand.
GAAAGTGAACTACATAAGGCACTAGGAACCAATCCCAGAGGGACAAAGATGAGACCTTTCAGACAGAGAATTAAAAATAGCTATTTTGAGGTAACTCAAAGAAATCTAAGATAACACAGAGAAGAAATTCTGAATTATTAAGTTTAACAAAGAGATTGAAATAATTAAAAAGAGTCAAGCAGAAATCATGGAGTAAAAACTTGAAATTGATATACTGAAGAATGCATCTGGGTCTCTTAATACCAGAATTGATCAGGCAAAGGAAAAAATTAGTAAGCTCAAAGACAGGCTGTAGGGTTCACTAGAGGGACAGAACTAATAGGATATATATATATAAAGGGAGTTTATTAAGGAGTATTAATTCACACAATCACAAGATACCACAATAGGCCATCTGCAAGCTGAGGAGCAAGGAGAAACAGTCTGAGTACCAAAGCTGAAGAACATAGAGTTTGATGTTCAAGTGCAGGAAGCATCCAGCATGGGAGAAAGGTGTAGGCTTGAAGGCTAAGCCAGTCTAGTCTTTTCACGTTTTTTCTGCCTGCAACATTCTGGCCACATTGGCAGCTTATTAGATGGTGCCCACCTGATTAAGGGTGGGTCTGCCTTTCCCAGCCCACCAACTCAAATGTTAATCTCCTTTGCCAACACCCTCACAGACACACCCAGGATCAATACTTTGCATCTACAATCAAATCAAGTTGACACTGAGTATTAACCATCACAGGCTGTATTAGTCCATTTTCACACTGCTAAGAAGAAATACCTGAGATTAGTAATTTATAAAGGAAAGAGTTTTAATGGACTCAAAGTTCCACATGGCCATGGAGACCTAAAGAAACTTACAATCATACTGGAAGGCAAAGAAGAAGCAGGCACCTCCTTCACAGAGTAACAAGATGGAGTGAGTACAAGCAGGGGAAATGCCAGACGCTTATAAAACCATCAGATCTTATGAGACTCAAGCATTATCACAAGAACAGCATGGGAGAAACCACCCGAATGATCCAATTATCTCCACCTGGTCCCACCCTTGACATGTAGGGATTATGGGGATTACAATTCAAGATGAGATTTTGGGTGGGGAAAGAGCCAAACCGTATCACAGTTTATATGAAAGTACACAGTCAGAGGAGACAAAAAAAAAAAAGAATGGGAAAGAATGAAGCACATCTACGAGATCTAGAAAATAGCGTCAACAGGACAAATCTAAGAGTTATTGACCTTAAAGAGGAAGGAGAAAGAGACACATTAAAAGTCAAAACATCTAGCATCTGATCAAACATTATGTAGCATGCAATAGTCAGAAAATGCTGCCAATAATTAACAGAATAATCAATCAGTTAAAACTGACCCAGAATTAAAAGAAATGATAAAATAGACAAGGACATAAAAACTGTTATTTTAACTGTATTCCATATGTTCAAGAAGTTAGAGAAAATATTGTACATATTAGATAGACATATGGGAATGTACAAAAGTTCAAATTCCACTTTTAGAAACAAAAATATATAATTAACGAGATAAAAAATTATACTGAATGGAATGAAGATTCACATTGAACATTGTAGAAGAAAAGAATGATGATGAAATTAAGACACAGAAACAGAAATTATCTAAAAGAAAAAAGACTAAAAACATAAGTATCATTGAGCTGTGGGACAACTTCAAGCTTGTGCTATTGGAGTACCTTTTTTATTTTTTATTTTTATTTTTATTTTTATTTTTTGAGACGGAGTCTCACTCTGTCGCCAGGCTGGAGTGCAGTGGCAGGATCTCAGCTCACTGCAACCTCTGCCACCCGGGTTCAAGCAATTCTCCTGCCTCAGCCTCCCAAGTAGCTGGGACTACAGGTGAGTGCCACTGTGCCCAGCTAGTTTTTGTATTTTTAGTATAGATAGGGTTTCCCCATGTTGGCCAGGATGATCTCGATCTCTTGACCTCGTGATCCACCCACCTTGACCTCCCAAAGTGCTGAGATTACAGGCGTGAGCCACCGCACCCGGGCTGAAGTACCTTACAGAAAGAAAAGATTGGAAGAGGAAGGATAGAGAAAAATTATGTGAGGAAATAATGGTCAAAATTTACCATATTTGATGAAAACTATAAACCCGTATATCCAAGAAAATCAACAAATTGTAAGCCAAGAAACCAGAATAGAATTACAGTAAGGCACATATAATCAAGTTGCTTAAAACCACTGATATAAAGAAAATCCTTTCTCAAAGAACCAACAGTTGACCCACCATTTGACCCTGTATCCCATTACCGGTATATCCTCAAAGAAAAAAAAAAAATCATTCTACCAAAAAGACACATGCACCCATATGTTCATCGCAGCACTATTTGCAATAGCAAAGCCATGGAATCAAACCAGCTGACCATCAATTATGGATTAGAAAAAGAAAATATGGTACATATATGGCATAAAATACTAGACAGCCATAAAAAAGAATGAAATCATATCCTTTGCAGCAACATGGATGCAGCTGGCAACAATTATCCTGAGCAAATTAATGCAGATACAGAAAACCAAATACTACATATTCTCACTTATAAGTGGGAGCTAAGCATTGGGTACACATGGACATAAAGATGGGAATGATAGACACTGGGGAATACAAGAAGGGGAGGGGGGCAAAGATTGAAAAACCACCTATTGGGTAACAGGCTCACTTCCTGGGTGACAGGTTCAATTGTACTCCAAACCTCAGCATCACACAATATACCTTTGTAACAAACCTACACATGTACCCCAAGAATAAAAAATAAAAGTTGAAATTGAAAAAAAAATCCTAAAGCAACCCCAAAAAAGGACACATTATTCACAGAAAAATAAATGTAAGAATAGCTTATTTCTTGTCAGAAACTACCTAGAACAAAGTGGAACAACATTTTTAAAGTAGTGAAAGAAAAAAATAAAAACTAGAATTATTTATCCAGTAAAAATATGTGCCAAAAACTGAAGTAAATAAGTAAATTTTGTGGAATTTAAAGTACATTTCAATAAGCTGTTTATAAACAAAATTAAGATTAAATGAAGACTTTATCTGACATACACAAGCTAACAGAATTGATCACCAGCAGTCCTTCATTACCAATAAATGATAAAGTTTCAAGCAGAAAAAAAAAAGATTCCAGCTGGAAACTGGGGTCTACCTAAAGGAATTAAAGGCAGCAGAAAATGTAACTACACAAATAAAGACTTTTTATATTATCTAAACTTATCTTAAAATAATAACAATGTATTGTGTAGTCTATAAAACATATAAAAGTAAAATGTTTCATAACAATAGCACAAAGGTCAGACGGATAAAAATTGAATTATAATACTCTCAGTTCCATATGCTATACATGAAGTGGCATCACATCATTTGAATATAGACTGTGATAAGTTACAGATGTATTTTTTAAGAAATCCATCACTAAAATAACATAAAAGTTATACTTAATAAACAAAGAGAATAAAGTGAGATAATAAAGACTACTAGTTCTTTAAGAAAGCAAATAAAATTGATACACTTCACATGGTGATCAATAATAAAAAAGGGAAAAAACAGAAATTATCCATTTTTTAGAATGAGATACTGAAATCACTATAGACTCTACAGATATTAAAGGTTAATAAGGAAACATTATGAACAACTTTACACTAATAAATTTGACAAATTAGGTAAAATTGATAAATTCCTTGAGACACACAAATTACTAAAACTCAGGACAGAAAAATTAAATAATGTGAAAAGCTTCATATAAAATAAAGAAATTGAACTTAAAGATAAAAACCTACCCACATAGAAAATTCCATTCCCTTTTAGTTGTTGAACTCCACCAGACATAAGGATAAAAATAACACCAACTCTACACAAACTCTTTCAGAAACTTGAAAAGAATGCCAGTATTATTCTGGTACAAAAACCAAATGAAGACATTACAAGAAAATAAAACTACAGACCAATATATTCATGAACATATATGCAAAAATTCTAAATAAACTTTTCACAAATCAAATCCCACTACACAAAAAAACACATGATGTATCATGATTAACTGGGATTTATATGAAGAACACAAGGTTGGTTTAACATTCAAAAATCAACCAATCATCAAATTAACATACCAAAAACATGTAACGATCTCAATATATCCATTAAAAGCATATGATGACGTCAAATACCCACTCAATAAGATTCTCAGCAAAATAGGAACAGAGGCCTCAGCATGATAAGAAAAATCAACAAAAAAATACAGTAATATCGTACTTAATGGTAAAAGACTCAATGTTTTTCCACAAAGATCAGGAGCAAACCAAGGATATCTACATCAACCATTTGTATTCAACATTGTATTTGAAATTTGAGCCAGGTAAATGAGGCAAGAAAAAATTTAAAAGCATCCTGATTTGAAAATAGAACTTAAAACTGTCTTTATTCACAGATGACATGATTGCCTATGTAGAAAATCCTACGGAAAAGAATATAAAAGCACCACTAGAAATAATTAATGAGTATAACAAGATTGCAGGATACAATGTCAATGAACAAAAACCAAGTTTATTTCTACATATCCGCAATGAACAATCATAAATAGAAATGTTAAAGTACTTCTTACAATAGTGTATAAATATGAAATACTTAAAAATAAATTTGAACAAAGACATACACTATCTCTATATTATAAACTACAAAATATTACTGAGAAAAAAATAAAGACTTAAATAAATGAAGATATACTATATTCATGAGTTGAAAGAATATTGTTAAGATAGTGCATTAGTCCATTTTCACAGTGCTATAAAGATACTACCTGAGACTGGGTAATTTATAAACAAAGAAGGTTTAATTGACTCACAGTTCTGAATGGCTTGGGAGGCCTCAGGAAACTTACAATCATGATGGAAGGTGAAGGGGAAACAAGGCACATCTTACATGGTAGCAGAAGAGAGAGAGCAAGACGGGGGAAGTGCCAGACACTTATCAAACAACCACATCTCATGAGAACTTACTATCATGAGAACAGCAAGGGGGAAATTCGCCCCCATAATCCAATCACCTCCCATCAGGTCCCTCCCTCAACACATGGGGAATGCAATTTGAGATGAGATTTGGGTGAGGAAACAGAGCTAAACAGTATCAGATGGCAATTTTCCAAAAATTGATCTAAAGATTTAATAAAATTCTAATTAAAATTCCACTGAGTATCATTTTAGAAATTCACAAGCTGATTCTACAATTTATACAAAAATAGTGAGGACCTAGAAGAGCCAAAAACAACTTTGACAAATAAGGACAGATTTGGAAGACTAATGCTACCTAACTTCCAGATATATTATGAATTCACAGTAATTAAGGCAATGTGGCCCCAGTTGTGTATCCCTAATCCAAAAATCCAAAATCCAAATGCTGCATAATCCAAAATGTTTTGAACACCGACATGAAACTCAAGAAAAACGTTTAGAGGAGCATCTCAGATTTTGGGTTGGCAGATTAATAATGATCAACTGGTAACTATAATGGAAATATTCCAAAATAAAAAAAATCCAAAATCTAAAACATTTCTTTTCCCACACAATTCAAATAAGGGATATTGAAACTGTACTGGCATCAAGATAGGAAAATATATCAATGGAACAGAATAGAGAGTTCAGAAATAAAACTAGACATACATGGTCAGTTGATTTTCAGCAATGATGCAAAGGCAGTTCAGTCAAGAAAATATAATAGTCATTTTAAAAATTAGATTGAGAACAACTGGATGTTCACATGCAAAAAGAAAAAAAAACTTCAATCCCTATGTGGCACCTTATAAAAATGTTATTTAAAATGAATCATTGGCCTTAAATTAATATGAAAACTATAAAATTCCTAGAAGAAAAACATAATAAAAATCTTTGTAACCTTCAGACAGACAAACTCTTCTTACACACATTACCAAAAGTAAGATCAATAAAAGAAATTGATAAACTGGACTTAATCAAAATTAGGAACATCTACCCTTTGAAAGACAAGAGAATGGGAAGTCAAGACACTAACCGGATGAAAAGTGTAAATCAGGTATCTGATAAAACACATATCAAGAATATATAACAACCCCTCAAAACTCAAAAATAAGAAAGAATGACAGCAGCAAAATGGAAAAATAAAAAATCCCAACCCACTTTCCTCCCCACAAACCCTCCTAGACAGAAACATTGATGAAAAAACAATATTTGGGTCAAAATACCATTATCAAACCCAACTGAAAAATTCCCTAGAGAGCTTCTAAAGTCGTCTGACGAAGCCCACTAAAGAATCAGCAAATGCAAAAACTAAAATTATTCAATCAGAGTAGAAAATAGAAAAATAGTTTAAAAAGAGTCAAGGAAGTCTACAAACCTTATGAAACACAGGCGGGAAAACCTGTATACACATCATGGGAATGCCAAAGAAGACGAGAGACCAAAAACGTCAGAAAGCATATTTAAAGGAAGAATAGGGTTCAAATACTTCACAAATCTTCTGAGGGAAATGGACATCCAGATTTATGAAGCCCAAAATATCCCAAACAGGATGAACCCCAGGAATTCTACACTGAGATAAACCTGCAATCAAATTTTCAAAATTTAAAGGCAGAAAGAAATTTGAAAGCAGCAAGATAAAAACAAATAGTAATGTACAAGTGAGTTCCCAAGGCTATCACCAATTTCCCAGGAGAAATATTGCACATCAGAGGGAGAGGGCATATAATTCAAAGTAATAAAAAAAACTGTCAACCAAGAATACTATCCCCAGCATAACTGTCCTTCAAAAATGAAGAGATAGAGGTTCCCAAACAAAAGCTGAGGAAATATGTTACCATTATTCCTGTCTTACAAAAAATGCTAAGGGAATTCAACAAAAGAATGAAAAGGTGCTAAACAGCAACACAAAAGCATATGAAAGTAAAAAACTCACTATGAAATATAATATATAGACAAATTAGAATACTGTCATACTGTAATGATAGAGTATAAATAACTTGTCATTTCAGTGTAAAAATTTAAAAAACAATATTAAGAACTATAAATTACAAAAACTTGTTAATGGATTCACAATAAAAAAGACGCAAATTATGACAATAACAAAGTGTGAGGGGGGTGAAATAAAAGTGCAGTTTTGTAAGCAGTTGAAGTTAAGTTGTTATCAGCTAAAAACAAACTATTGTAACTACAGAATATTTTATAGACACCTAATGACCATCACAAATACATACAAAAGACATAGAAAAGAAAAAGAGAAAGGAGTAAAAAACATTATAAGAACATCAGCAAAAACACAAAGGGAGATAGCAAGTGAGGAAAAAAGAAACACAATCAGACAGGACACAATTAAAATAGTAATAATCCATCTCTGTTAATAATTACTTTAACATAAATTAAACTCCCCAGTCAAAACACATACAATGGCTGAATATATAATAAAACAAGATCCAAGTATATGTTGTCTACAAAAGATTTATTTTATTTTAGCTTTAAGGACACATGTGGGCTGAAAATGAAGGCATAAATAAAAACAAGGGACAAGGAAACACATACAACTATAAAAGGATAAAATCATCATAAGTAGATAGCAATGTGTACATATGAGAGCTATTAAATATAGAAAGCAAATATAAACAGAACTGAAAGGAGAAATCAACAGCAATACAATAATAGTAAGATATTTAAATGCAGCAGTGTCAAAAACAGGATATCCAGACAGAAAATCAATAAAAGATAAAACTTTAGGTAAAATGGACCTAAGAGACATATTCAAACATTTTACCCAACAGCAGCAGAATATAAATTCTACCGAAGCACACATGGAACATTCTCTATAAGTAGTCATATGTGAGGTCACAAAAAGAGTCTTGATAAATTTAAGAAAACTGAAGTCACATCAGGTGTCTTTTACAACCACAACTATATACCACAACTGGTATAAAACTAGGAATCAATAACAGGAAAAAAGTTGAAAGATTCACGATTACAGAAAAATTCAGCTGCATGCTTCTGAACAACCAATGGGTCAAAAAAGAAATTAAAAGGAAAATCAAAAATTATCTTGAAACAAATTAAAATGTCAACAAAATATACCAAAACCTGTGATGCAACAAAAGTGGTTCTCAGACACTTTAGACCAATAAATACCTATAGTAAGAATAAGAAAGATCTTAAATGAGTAACCTAACTGTACACCTCAAGAGACTAGAAAAAGAAGAACAAACAAAACCCAAAGCTGGTAGAAGAAAGTAAATAATAAAATATCTGAGCAGAAATCAGAGATACAAAAAAAAAAAAAAATAGGAGAGGGCAGCCAAGATGGCCGAATAGGAACAGCTCCGATCTACAGCTCCCAACGTGAGCGATACAGAAAACAGGCGATTTCCGCATTTCCATCTGAGGCACCGGGTTCATCTCACTAGGGAGTGCCAGACAGTGGGCACAGGACAGTGGGTGCAGCGCACCGTGTGCGAGTCAAAGCAGGGCAAGGCATTGCCTCACTCGGGAAGTGCAAGGGGTCAGGGAGTTCCCTTTCTGAGTCAAAGAAAGGGGTGACAGACAGCACCTGGAAAATCAGGTCACTCCCACCCTAATACAGCGCTTTTCCGATGGGCTTAAAAAACGGCGCTCCAGGAGATTATATCCCGCACATGGCTCAGAGGGTCCTACACCCACAGAGTCTCGCTGATTGCTAGCACAGCAGTCTGAGATCAAACTGCAAGGCGGCAGCAAGGCTGGGGGAGGGGCGCCCGCCATTGCCCAGGCTTGCTTAGATAAACAAAGCAGCCGGGAAGCTCGAACTGGGTGGAGCCCACCACAGCTCAAGGTTGCCTGCCTGCCTCTGTAGGCTCCACCTCTGGGGGCAGGGCACAGACAAACAAAAAGACAGCAGTAACCTCTGCAGACTTAAATGTCCCTGTCTGACAGCTTTGAAGAGAGCAGTGGTTCTCCCAGCAGGCAGCTGGAGATCTGAGAACGGGCAGACTACCTCCTCAAGTGGGTCCCTAACCCCTGACCCCTGAGCAGCCTAACTGGGAGGCACCCCCCCAGTAGGGGCAGACTGACACCTCACATGGCCGGGTACTCCTCTGAGACAAAACTTCCACAGGAACTATCAGACAGCAGCATTCGCGGTTCATGAAAATCCGCTGTTCTACGGCCACCGCTGCTGATACCCAGGCAAACAGGGTCTGGAGTGGACCTCTAGCAAACTCCAACAGACCTGCAGCTGAGGGTCCTGTCTGTTAGATGGAAAACTAACAAACAGAAAGGACATCCACACCAAAAACCCATCTGTACGTCACCATCATCAAAGACCAAAAGTAGATAAAATCACAAAGATGGGGAAAAAACAGAGCAGAAAAACTGGAAACTCTAAAAAGCAGAGCGCCTCTCCACCTCCAAAGGAACACAGTTCCTCCCCAGCAATGGAACAACGCTGGAGGGAGAATGACTTTGATGAGTTGAGAGAAGAAGGCTTCAGACGATCAAACTACTCCAAGCTACAGGAGGAAATTCAAACCAAAGGCAAAGAAGATAAAAAGTTTGAAAACAATTTAGATGAATGTATAACTAGAATAACCAATATACAGAAGTGCTTAAAGGAGCTGATGGAGCTGAAAGCCGAGGCTCGAGAACTACGTGAAGAATGCAGAAGCCTCAGGAGCCGATGCGATCAACTGCAAGAAAGGGTATCAGCGATGGAAGATGAAATGAATGAAATGAAGCAAGAAGGGAAGTTTAGAGAAAAAAGAATAAAAAGAAACGAACAAAGCCTCCAAGAAATATGGGACTATGTGAAAAGACCAAATCTGCGTCTGATTGGGGTACCTTAAAGTGACGGGGAGAATGGAACCAAGTTGGAAAACACTCTGCAGGACATTACCCAGGAGAACTTCCCCAAACTAGCAAGGCAGGCCAACATTCAGATTCAGGAAATACAGAGAACGCCACAAAGATACTCCTCGAGAAGAGCAACTCCAGGACACATAATTGTCAGATTCACCAAAGTTGAAATGAAGGAAAAAATGTTAAGGGCAGCCAGAGAGAAAGGTCGGGTTACCCACAAAGGGAAGCCCATCAGACTAACAGCGGATCTCTCGGCAGAAACTCTACAAGCCAGAAGAGAGTGGGAGCCAATATTCAACATTCTTAAGGAAAAGAATTTTCAACCCAGAATTTCATATCCAGCCAAACTAAGCTTCATAAAAGTGAAGGAGAAATAAAATCCTTTACAGACAAGCAAATGCTGAGAGATTTTGTCACCACAAGGCCTGCCATAAAAGAGCTCCTGAAGGAAGCACTAAACAAGGAAAGGAACAACCGGTACCAGCCACTACAAAATCATGCCGAATTATACAGACCATCGAGGCTAGGAAGAAACTGCATCAACTAACGAGCAAAATAACCAGCTAACATCATCATGACAGGATCAAATTCACACATAACAATATTAACTTTAAATGTAAATGGACTAAATGCTCCAATTAAAAGACACAGACTGGCAAATTGAATAAAGAGTCAAGACCCATCAGTGTGCTGTATTCAGGAAACCCATCTCATGTGCAGAGACACACATAGGCTCAAAATAAAAGGATGGAGGAAGATCTACCAAGCAAATGGAAAACAAAAAAAGGCAAGGGTTGCAATCCTAGTCTCTGATAAAACAGACATTAAACCAACAAAGATCAAAAGAGACAAAAAAGGCCATTACATAATGGTAAAGGGATCAATTCAACAAGAAGAGCTAACTATCCTAAATATATATGCACCCAATACAGGAGCACCCAGATTCATAAAGCAAGTCCTTAGAGACCTACAAAGAGACTTAGACTCCCACACAATAATAATGGGAGACTTTAACACCCCACTGTCAACAACAGACAGATCAACGAGACAGAAAGTTAACAAGGATACCCAGGAATTGAACTCAGCTCTGCACCAAGCAGACCTAATAGACATCTACAGAACTCTCCACCCCAAATCAACAGAATATACATTTTTTTCAGCACCACACCACACCTATTCCAAAATTGACCACATAGTTGGAAGTAAAGCACTCCTCAGCAAATGTAAAAGAACAGAAATTATAACAAACTGTCCCTCAGACCACAGTGCGATCAAACTAGAACGCAGGATTAAGAATCTCATTCAAAACAGCTCAACTACGTAGAAACTGAACAACCTGCTCCTGAATGACTACTGGGTACATAATGAAATGAAGGCAGAAATAAAGATGTTCTTTGAAACCAACGAGAACAAAGACACAACATACCAGAATGTCTGGGACACATTCAAAGCAGTGTGTAGAGGGATTATACATTTATAGCACTAAATCCCCACAAGAGAAAGCAGGAAAGATCCAAAATTGACACCCTAACATCACAATTAAAAGAACTAGAAAAGCAAGAGCAAACACATTCAAATGCCAGCAGAAGGCAAGAAATAACTAAAATCAGAGCAGAACTGAAGAAAATAGAGACAAAAAAAGCCCTTGAAAAAATTAATGAATCCAGGAGCTGGTTTTTTGAAAGGATCAACAAAAGTGATAGACCGCTAGCAAGACTAATAAAGAAGAAAAGAGAGAAGAATCAAATAGATGCAATAAAAAATGATAAAGGGGATATCACCACCAATCCCACAGAAATACAAACTACCATCAGAGAATACTACAAACAACTCTACGCAAATAAACCAGAAAATCTAGAAGAAATGGATAAATTCCTCGACACATACACCCTCCCAAGACTAAACCAGGAAGAAGTTGAATCCCTGAATAGACCAATAACAGGCTCTGAAATTGTGGCAATAATCAATAGCTTACCAACCAAAAATAGTCCAGGACCAGATGGATTCACAGCCGAATTCTACCAGAGGTACAAGGAGGAACTGGTACCATTCTTTCTGAAACTATTCCAATCAACAGAAAAAGAGGGAATCTTCCCTAACTCATTTTATGAGGACAGCACATCCTGATACCAAAGCCGGGCAGAGACACAACCAAAAAAGAGAATTTTAAACCAATATCCTTGATGAACATTGATGCAAAAATCCTCAATAAAATACTGGCAAACCGAATCCAACAGCACATCAAAAAGCTTATCCACCATGATCAAGTGGGCTTCATCCCCGGGATGCAAGGCTGGTTCAATATACGCAAATCAATAAACGTAATCCAGCATATAAACAGAACCAAAGACAAAAACCACATGATTATCTCAATAGATGCAGAAAAGACCTTTAAGAAAATTCAACAACGCTTCGTGCTAAAAACTCTCAATAAATTCAACATAGTGTTGGAAGTTCTGGCCAGGGCAATTAGGCAGGAGAAGGAAATAAAGGGTATTCAATTAGGAAAAGAGGAAGTCAAATTGTCCCTCTTTGCAGACGACATGATTGTATATCTAGAAAACCCCACTGGCTCAGCCCAAAATCTCCTTAAGCTGATAAGCAACTTCAGCAAAGTCTCAGGATACAAAATCAATGTACAAAAATCACAAGCATTCTTATACACCAATAACCGACAAACAGAGAGCCAAATCATGAGTGAACTCCCATTCACAATTGCTTCAAAGAGAATAAAATACCTAGGAATCCAACTTACAACGGACGTGAAGGACCTCTTCAAGGAGAACTACAAACCACTGCTCAATGAAATAAAAGAGGATACAAACAAATGGAAGAACATTCCATGCTCATGGGTAGGAAGAATCAATATCGTGAAAATGGCCATACTGCCCAAGGTAATTTATAGATTCAATGCCATCCCCATCAAGCTACCAATGACTTTCTTCACAGAATTGGAAAAAACTACTTTAAAGTTCATATGGAACCAAAAACGAGCCCACATTGCCAAGCCAATCCTAAGCCAAAAGAACAAAGCTGGAGGCATCACGCTACCTGACTTCAAACTATACTACAAGGCTACAGTAACCAAAACAGCATGGTACTGGTACCAAAACAGAGATATAGATCAATGGAACAGAACAGAGCCCTCAGAAATAATGCCGCATATCTACAACTATCTGATCTTTGACAAACCTGAGAAAAACAAGCAATGGGGAAAGGATTCCCTATTTAATAAACGGTGCTTGGAAAACTGGCTAGCCATATGTAGAAAGCTGAAATTGGATCCCTTCCTTACACCTTATACAAAAATTAATTCAAGATGGATTAGACTTAAACGTTAGACCTAAAACCATGAATAACCTAGAAGAAAACCTAGGCATTACCATTCAGGACATAGGCATGGGCAAGTACTTCATGTCTAAAACACCAAAAGCAATGGCAACAAAAGCCAAAATTGACAAATGGGATCTAATTAAACTAAAGAGCTTCTGCACAGCAAAAGAAACTACCATCAGAGTGAATAGGCAACCTATAAAATGGGAGAAAATTTTCGTAACCTACTCATCTGACAAAGGGCTAATATCCAGAATCTACAATGAACTCAAACAAATTTACAAGAAAAAAACAAACAACCCCATCAAAAAGTGGGTGAAGGACATGAACAGACACTTCTCAAAAGAAGACATTTATGCAGCCAACAGACACATGAAAAAATGCTCATCATCACTGGCCATCAGAGAAATGCAAATCAAAACCACTATGAGATACCATCTCACACCAGTTAGAATGGCCATCATTAAAAAGTCAGGAAACAACAGGTGCTGGAGAGGATGTGGAGAAATAGGAACACTTTTACACTGTTGGTGGGACTGTAATTAGTTCAACCATTGTGGAAGTCAGTGTGGCGATTCTTCAGGGATCTAGAACTAGAAATACCATTTGACCCAGCCATCCCATTACTGGGTATATACCCAAAGGACTATAAATCATGCTGCTATAAAGACACATGCACACATATGTTTATTGCGGCATTATTCACAATAGCAAAGACTTGGAACCAACCCAAATGTCCATCAATGATAGACTGGATTAAGAAAATGTGGCACATATACACCATGGAATACTATGCAGCCATAAAAAATGATGAGTTCATGTCCTTTGTAGGGACATGGATGAAACTGGAAATCATCATTCTCAGTAAACTATCACAAGAACAAAAACCCAAACACCGCATGTTCTCACTCATAGGTGGGAATTGAACAATGAGAACACATGGACACAGGAAGGGGAACATCACACTCTGGGGACTGTTGTGGGGTGGGGGTATGGGGGAGGGATAGCATTAGGAGATATACCTAATGCTAAATGACGAGTTAATGGGTGCAGCACACCAGCATGGCACATGTATACATATGTAACTAACCTGCACATTGTGCACATGTACCCTAAAACTTAAAGTATAATAATAATAAAAAAAATAGAAAAGATTCACAAAACTAAGTGTTGAATTTTTGAGAAAATAAAATTATTAAACTTTTAGCTTAAGTGAGAAGGAAAAAAGTTTCAAATAAATAAAAATATAAATGAAAGAGCAGACATTACAACTGACACCACAGAAATACAAAGGATCATAAAAGAGTACTATGAACAATTATGAGCCAACAAATTGGATAATGTAGGAGAAACTGGTAATCCCTAGACATATACAACCTACCTAATAACTGAAGACAACCTAGAGACTGAATTATGAAAAAATAGAAAATCTGAACAGACCAATAACAAGTAGATTTAATCAGTAGTTTTTTAAGTCTCCCGTCAAAGAAAAGTATAGAACCAGATTACTTCACTGGTGAATTCTACCAAACATTTGCAGAAGTAATGCTAATCCTTCTCAGTCTTCCCAAAAACTTCACAGAGGAGAGCACTTCCAAACTCATTTTACAAACCTATTTTCTCAAGAATGTACAGGAGAGAATACTACCAAATTCATTTTTGTATCATCATTACCCTGACACCAAAGTCAAAGCAAATTACTACAAGAAAAGAAAAATATAGGCCAATATCCAGGATGAACATGATGCAAAAATCCTCAACCAAACACTAACAAACCAGATTCAACAACACATTAAAAGTATCATACACTATTATCAAGTTGGCTTTATAACTAGGATACAAGAAGAGTTCAACATAAGAAAATTAATAAATGTGATGTACCCATTAATAGAATAAAAGATAAAAAATTATATGATCATCTCAATAGATGCAGAAAGAAAATGTGACAAAATTAAAAATCTGTTCATGATTTTAAAAAAACTCTCAAAAATTAAGTATAGAAGAAATAAACCTCAACATATTAAAGACCATATATGGCAAGCCCACAGCTAATACCATACTCAACAGAGAAAAATTGAAAGCTTTTCCTCCAAGGTCAGGAACAACACAAGGATACCCATTCTCATCACTTGTATTCAATACAGTACTGACAGTACAAGCCAGAGTAATTAGGCAAGAAAAAGAAATAAAAGGAATCCAAAATGGAATGTAAGTAAAATTATATGATCTTTTACATAGAAAACCCTTAAAACACCACCAGAAGTTATAACAACTAATAAAGTAATTAAGTAAAATGTTAAAATAAATAATCAACATATGAAAATCAGTATCTTCATACACTGAAAATGATTATACAAAAAACAAATCAATCACATTTATAATAGCATCAAAAATACTTAGAAATAAATTCATTCAAGTAAATAACATATTTGTACACTGAAAACTACAAAGTGAACAAGTAAAACTGAAGAAGACACAAATAAATATAAACCTCATGTCGATAGACCGGGAAAATTAATATTGCCAAAATGTCCATACTAAACAAAGCAATCTATGAATTCAAAGCAACCCCTATGAAAATTACAATGACATTTTTCACAAGAATAGAAAAAACAATCCTAAAATTCTTATGGAACCACATAAGACATCAAATAGCCAAAGCAAACTTGAGCGAAAAAACAAAGGGAAGGCATTACACTACCTGATTTCAAAACATATGATAAACCTGTAGTAATCAAGCAACATGGCACTAGCATAAAAATAGACATATAGACCAACAAGACAGAAAACATCCCAGAAATAAATCCACATATTTACTATCAACTGATGTTCAACAAAGGTGTCAAGAACATACCATAATAAAATAACAGTTTCTTCAATAAATAGTGTTGGAAAGATTGTCTATCCACATGCAAAAGAATGAAATTGTATCCCTTGTACCATACGTACACAAAAATCAACTCAAAATGAATTAAAGACTTAAACATACAATGTGAAACTGTAAAACAATAAAACATAGAGGGAAAGCTTCTTGACCTTAGTCTGAGTAATGAATTTTTGTACATGGTATCAAAAGCACAGACAACAAAAGCAAAAAATAGACAAATGGGATTGTATCAAATCAAAAAAATCAACTGAGTGACGAGACAACCTATAGAATACAAGCAAATATTTGCAAACCATATATCTGATAAGAGGTTAATATACAAAATACATAGGCAACTCAAATAATTCAATATCAATCAATAAATAGAAATAACCATTTTCAAAATGAGCCAAGGACCTGAATAGACATTTCTCTAAAGAAGTCATTCAAATGACCAGCAGGCAGGTATATAAAAAGGTGCTCAACATCACTAATCATCAGGCAAATGAAAATTAAAATCATAATGAAATATCACCTCACAGCTGTTAGAATGGTTATGAGCAAAGAGACAAAGGATAACAAGTGTCGCCAAAAATGTGAAGAAAAGGAAATCCTTGTGCACACTGTTGGGAATGTAAGTTAATATGGCCATTATGAAAAACAGTATGGAGAGGATCATGGCAGATGGGAGGCAGGAGTAGATTGCAGTTCCCACTCCGATGGACAGAGCAGCATGTGAAGTACTGCATCATGAACTTTTGCTCTAGAACTACTGCAGGAATAAATCAGGAAAGCCAAGAGAACCCACCAACCCTCTAAAGGAAGCGGATTGCTCCTGCAGGACCTGGGAAACATCCCAAATACTCTAAGTGCCCAAACTGTAAACGTGTAAAAGGGGGATCATCCGCCCCTGAACACACACCCTGACTGGGGAACCTGAAGGTCTACACCAAAGACAATATTCTAACCTTACCTGGAGCTAAGTCAATTTAGAGAACCGAGAGAAATACAGGGGTAGATGAAACAGTGGGAAAAGCCCTGAGAGCTCTCTGAGTACCCTAAAAAGCCATTTCTGCCTTGCCTCACAAAGGTCCTTTGAGAGGGCTGCCAGAGGTACTGGGAAAAGGTCACAGGGAAAAAAAAAAAAAACCTCCAGCAGAACTTTGTAACAATTCCAACCAAATGAGAAGTCTCCCAGCCAGAATTCAGGGGAGGGCATGAATCTGGTGTGCAGGCTTCACAGGCAGGGAAGCATGAAAGCCCTACTTGCTTTCACAACTGGAAGACTGGTAGCCTAGGGCAAGTTCTCGGCTGTGCTCACCCACTACCTGGAAACAGACTCAGTGCTGTTGTGGGAGAGGGCATTGTGGGAGTAAGACCAGTCTTCGGAGTTTCATGGGAACATAACTCCATAGACCTGGGAACCCACACCCCCATCCCCCACAGCAGCAACAGCAAGACCTGCCCAAGGAAAGTCTGAGCTCAGACACAGTTAGCACTGCCCCCACCTGATGGTCCTTTCCTACCCACCCTGGTAGCTGAAGACAAACGGCATACACCCTTAAGAGATATAGGGCCCCACCCACCACCTAATCCTCCCCATACTACCACAGCTGATGCTCTTTTGAAAGCGCCACCTCCTGACAGGAGGCCAACCAGCATAGAAATAGTACATTAAACAACCAAAACTAAGGACCCCCACAGAGTCCATTTCACCATCCTGTCATCTTCACCAGAGCAGATGGTGGTATCCACGGCTAAGAGAACCTCAGATGTTTCATAACACAGGACTCTGTGCAGACAACCCCCAGTAACAGCCCAAAGCCTGGTAGACCTGGTAGACCTGCTGGTTGCCTAGATCAAGGAGAGAAATAACAATCACTACAGCTCAGGCCTCAGGAAACCACATCCCTAGAAAAATGGGAAGAGTACCACATCAAGGGAATACTATGTAGGACAAAAGAATCTGAACAACACCTTAAACCCTAGACCTTCCCTCTGACAGAACCTACCCAAATGAGAAGGAATCAGAATTGAATTCTGGTAATATGACAAATAAGGTTCTTTAACACCCAAAAAAAAATTACACTAGCTCACCAGCAATGGATCAAAACAAAAAAGACATCCCTGATTTACCTGAATAAGAATTCAGAAGGTCAGTTAATAAGCTAATAAAGGAGGTACCAGAAAAATGCAAAGCCCAGTTTAAAGAAACCAAAAAAAACAATCATACAAGAAATGAGGGGAGAAATCTTCAGTGAAATAGATAGCATAAATAAAAAACAATCAAAACTTCAGGAAACCACGGATGCACTTACAGAAATATGAAATGCTCTAGAAAGTCTCAGCAATAAAATCAAACAAGCAGAAGAAAGAACTTCAGAGCTCAAAGGCAAGGTTTTTGAATTAACCCAATCCAACAAAGGCAAAGAAACAAGAATAAGAAAATATGAACAAAGCCTCCAAGAAGTCTGGGTTTATGTTAAATGACCAAACCTAAGAATAATTGGTGTTCCTGAGAAAGAAGAGAATCGAAAAGTTTGGAAAACATATTTGGGGGAATAATTGAGGAAAACTTCCCCCAGCCTTGCTAGAGTCCTAGACATCCAAATACAAGAAGCTCAAAGAATGCCTGGGAAATGCATCACAAAAAGATCATCACCTAGGCACATTGTCATCAGGTTATCTAAAGTTAAGACAAAGGAAAGAATTTTACAAGATGTGAGGCAAAAGCACCAGGTAACCTATAAAGAAAAACCTATCAAATTAACAGCAGATTTCTCAGCAGAAACCCTATAAGCTAGAGGAAATTGGAGCCCTATCTTCAACCTCATTAAACCAAACAATTAACAGCCAAGAATTTTGTATCCAGAAAAACTAAGCTTCATAAATGAAGGAAACACATGTCTTTTTCAGAAAAACAAATGATAAGAGAATTCACCACTACTAAGCCAGCACTACAAGAACTGCTAAAAAGAGCTCTAAATCTTGAAACAAATCCTGGAAACACATTAAAACAGAACCTCTTTAAAGCATAAATCACACAGAACTTATAAAACAAAAATATAATTTTAAAAAGTAAAGAGGCAACAAATAGTATGATGAATGGAATACAACCTCATATCTCAATACTAATGTTGCATGTAAATGGCCTAAATGCTTCACTTAAAAGATACAGAATTGCAAAATGGATAAGAATTCATCAACTAACAATCTGCTGCCTTCAAGAGACTCAAGTAAGGACTCACATACATAAACTGAAAGTAAAGAGGTGGAAAAAGACATTCCAAGCAAATGGACAACGAAAGTGAGCAAGAGCATCTATTCTTATATCAAACAAAACAGACTTTAGAGCAAAAGTTGAAAAAGACAAAGAGAGACATTATATAATGATAAAAGGCCTTGTCCAACAGGAAAATATCACAATCCTAAATATATATGCACCTAGCATTAGAGCTCCCAAATTTATAAAACAATTACTACTAGATCTAAGAAATGAGATAGACAGCAACATAATAACAGTAGGGAACTTCAATACTCCACTGACAGCACTAGACAGGTCAAGACAGAAAGTCAACAACAACAATAAAAAAAATTTAAACTACACCCTGGAACCAATGAACTTAACAGGTATTTACAGAACATTCTACCAAACAACTGCACAATATAGATTCTATTCATCATTGCATGGAACTTTCTCCAAGATAGACGATATGATAGCCTACAAAACAAGCCTCAATAAATTTATAAAATTTGAAATTACATCAAGCAATCTCTCAGACCATAGTGGAATAAAACTGGTATCAACTCCAAAAGGAACATTTAAAACCATGCAAATATATGAAAATGAAATAACCTGCTCCTGAATGATCATTGAGTCAACAATGAAATCAAGATGGAAATTTAAAAATTATTTAAACTGAATGATGATAGTGACACATCCTATCAAAACCTCTGGGATACAGCAAAGGCAGTGCTAATAGGAAATATCATAGCCCTAAACACCTACATCAAAAAGTCTGAAAGAGCCCTAACAGACAAAGATCAGACCTCAAGGAACTAGGGAAACAAGAACAAACCAAACCGAAATCCAGCAGAAGAAAAGAAATAACCAAGATCAGAGCAGAACTAAATAAAATTAAAACAAACAAAAAAATATAAAAGATAAATGAAACAAAAAGCTGGTTCTTTGAAAAGATAAATAAAATTGATAGACCATTACCAAGAATAACCAAGAAAACAAGAGAGAAGATCCAAATAAGCTCAATTAGAAACAAAACAAGAGATATTACAACTGACACGATAGAAATACAAAAGATCATTCAAGGCTACTATGAACACCTTTACACACAGAAACTAGAAAACCTAGTGGAGATGGATAAATTCCTGGAAAGATACAACCCTCTTAGCTTAAATCACGAAGAATTAGACACCCTGAACAGACCAATAACAAGCAGAGAGATTGAAATGGTAATTAAAAAAAAAAGTTCAAGACCAGACGGATTCACAGGTGAATTCTATCAGAAATTCAAAGAAGAACTGGTACCAATCCTATTGACACTATTCCACAAGACAGAGAAAGAGGGATTCCTCCCTAAATCATTCTATGAAGCCAATATCACCCAAATACCAAAACCACGGAAGCACATAACAAAAAAAGAAAACTACAGACTAATACCCCTAATGAACATAGATGCAAAAATCCTAAACAAAATACTACCTAACCCAATCTAACAACATATTGAAAAGTTAATCCACCATGATCAAGTGGGTTTCACACCAGGGATGCAGGGATGGTTTAACATACACAAGTCAATAAATGTGATACACCACATAAACAATTAAAAACAAAAATCACATCATCATCTTAATAGATGCAGCAAAAGCATTTGACAAAATCCAGCATCCCTTTATGATTAAAACTCGCAGCAAAATCGGCATACAAAGGACATATCTCGTTGTAAAAAAAAGCCATCTATGACAAATCCACAGCCAACATTATACTGAATTGGGAAAAGTTGAAAGCATTCCCTCTGAGAACTGGAACAAGACAAGGATGCCCACTCTCACCACTTCTCTTCAATATAGTACTGGAAGTCCTACCAGAGCAATCAGACAAAAGAAAGAAATAAAGGGCATCCAAATCGGTAAAGAGGAAGTCAAACTGTCACTATTTACTGATTATATGACTGTATACCTAGAAAACCCTAAAGACTCATCCAAAAAGCTCCTAGAACTGATAAAAGACTTCTTAAAAGTTTCTGGATACAACATCAATGTACACAAATCAGCAGCTCTTCTATGCACCAACAGCGACCAAGCTGAGAATCAAATCAAGAACTCAACCCCTTTTGCAATAGCTGCAATATATATATAAATATATATATTTATAAATATATATTTATATATATAAATATATATAAATATATAAATATATATAAATATATATACATATAAATATATAAATATATATATGTAAATATATGTAAATATATGTAAATATATGTATATGTATATATATGTAAATGTATGTAAATATATATAAATATATGTAAATATATATAAATATACGTAAATATATAAATATATATAACTATATATAAATATATATAAATATAAATATATAAATATATATAAATATATATAAATATATAAATAAATACATATAAATATATAAATAAATACATATAAATATATATAAATATATAAAAATATATATAAATATATATATAAATATATAAACATATATAAATATATAAATATATATAAATATATAAATACATAAAATATATAAATATATATAAATATATAAATATATATAAATATAGATAAATATAGATAAATATATAAATATATATAAATATATAAATATAGATAAATATATAAATATATAAATATAAATATATAAAAATATATATAAATATATAAAAATATAAATAAATATATATAAATATATAAATATATATAAATATATAAAAATATATATATATATATATAGAGAGAGAGAGAGAGAGAGAGAGATACACTTAGGAATATACCTAACCAAGGAGGTGAAAGACCTCTACAAGGAAAACTACAAAACACTGCTGAAAGAAATCATAGATGACACAAACAAATGGAAGCACATCCTATGTTCATGGATGGGTAGAATAAATATTGTGAAAATGACCATACTGCCAAAAGCAATGTACAAATTCAGTGCAATTCCCATCAAAATATCACCATCATTTTTCACGGAACTAGAAAAAACAATTCTAAAATTCATATGGAGCCAAAAACGAGCCCACCAAGTCAAAGCAAGACTAACCAAAAAGAACAAATCTAGAGGCATCACATTACACATTAGAATAATTTCAAATTATTCTATAAGGCCATAGTCACCAAAACAGCATAGTACTGGTATAAAAATAGGCACATAGACCAATGGAACATAATAGTGAACCCAGAAATAAACCCAAATACTTACAGGATCTTTGACAAAGCAGACAAAAACATAAAGTGGGGAAAGGACACCCTATTCAACAAACAGTGCTGGGATAATTGGCTAGCCACATGTAGGAGAATGAAACTGGATCCTCATCTCTCATCTTATACAAAAAAATCATCTCTCATCTTATACAAAAATCAACTCAAGAAGGATCAAGGACCTAAATCTAAGACTTGAAACTATAAAAATTCTAAAAAATAACATCAGAAACACCCTTCTAGACATTGGCTTAGGCAAGGATTTCATGACCAAGAACCCAAAAGCAATTGCAATAAAAACAAAGATAAATAGCTGGACTTAATTAAAGAGCTTTTCCATGGCAAAAGGAACAGTCAGCAGAGTAAACAGAATGCTGTGGGAGAAAATCTTCACAATCTGTACATCTGAGAAAGGACTAATATCCAGAATCTACAACAAACACAAACAAATTAGCAAGAAAAAAACAAACAATCCCATCAAAAGGTGGACTAAGGACATGAATAGACAGTTATCAAAAGAAGATATACAACTGGCCAACAAACATATGGAAAAATGCTTAACATCACTAATGATCAGGAAAATGCAAATCACCTTACAACGCGATACCACCTTACTCCTGCATGAATGGCCATAATCAAAAAATTAAAAAATAAATGTTGGTGTGGATGCAGTGAACAGGGAACACTTCTACACTGCTGGTGGGGATGTAAACTAGCACAACCACTATGGAAAACACTCTGGATATTCCTTAAAGAACTAAAAGTAAAACTACCATTTGATCCAGCAATCCCACTACTGGGTATCTACCCAGAAGAAAAGAAGTCATTATACAAAAAAGATACTTGCATATGCATGTTTATAGCAGCACAATTCACAATTGCAAAAATGTGGAAACAACCCAAATGCCATATATATATATATACACACATATGTATATATATATGTGTATATATATATACACACACATATGTGTGTGTGTGTATATATATACACATATGTGTATATATACACACATATATATACACATATGTGTATATATATACACATATATATACATATGTATATACACATATGTGTATATATATACACATATGTGTATATATATACACACATATATATATACATATGTATATACACATATGTATATATATATGAATACTACTCTGCCATAAAAAGGAATGAACTAATGGTATTCATGGCAACGTGGATAAGATTGGAGAGTATTATTCTAAGTGAAGTAACTCAAGAATGAAAAACCAAACATCACATGATCTCACTCATAATTGGGAGCTAAGCTATGAGGATGCAAACGCATAAATAAGAATGACACAATGCACTTCGTGGATTCAGGGGGAAAGGGAGGGAAAAGGGTGAGGGATAAAAGACTACAAATTTGGTGCAGCATATACTGCTCAGGTGGTGGGTGCACCAAAATCTCACAAATCACCACTAAAGAACTTACTCATGTAACCAGATACCACCTGTTCCCCAATAACCTATGGAAATAAAAGATAAATAAATAAAATTTTAAAAATAAATAAATTTTTGAAAAGAAAAACAAAGTAATTTTTCTAAATAAACACATAATGAAAGTTCAACGAAGAAAAAAATAACAGTATGGACTTTCCTCAAAACATTGAAACTAAAACTATCATATGACCCAGCAATCCCACCCTGGCAAGGGTATCCAAAAGATAGGAAACCAGTATGTCAAAGAGATATGTGCACTCCCAAGTTCATTGCAGCATTATTTACAATAGTCAAAATATGGAATCAACCCAAGTGTCAATTGATAAATGAATGGAAAAAGAAAATGCGAAAATGTAGTAAAATTGAATACTATTTACCCTTTAAAAAGAAGGGAATCCTGTCATTTGTGACAACATAGATGAACCTAGAGGACATTATGATAAATGGAATAAGCCAGACATAGAAAGACAAATACTGCAGGATCACACTTATATGTAGAATCAGAAAAACTTGAATGCGTAAAAGCAGATAATAGGTGGTTGCCAGGGGATGGGGGGGATAGAGGGGAATCAAGAGATCCTGATCAAAGGGAATACAAAATTTCAGTTAGGATGAAAAATACCTATTGTACAGCACGGTGACTATAGTTAATAATAATGTATTGCATGTTTGAAAATTGCTAAGTGAGTAGATCTTCAATGTTCTCACCTCAGAAAAAGGTAAGTATGTGATATAATGGATACTGTGAAATTTGTCAGAATCAACATGGAGTCACTTGTGTCAAATCCCTGAAAAATGGAAACAGGAAAGCCATGAAGGGAGGGTTCTCACACATGTGTGCCTGATAACAAGAACTATTAACCATTAACAAGAACTATCAAAAAAGACTCTGCAAAAAAACACAACTTTGCACAAAAGCCACCATAGCCTTACACAGAAAACACTTGGCAAGGACATCTGTCCAGCAACTGCCTGTCCAACCTTAGATTGGCACCACCCTTGTTTTGATCCTTGTAGCCAAGGATAATTGATTAAAAACAACTTACATAATCCTCCTCATTTGCCTTTTAAAACTTCCAACTTCCTCAACCTCCCTGAATATTCACATAGTTTACTACGGCATACGTATTCCCATTGCAGTGTTACTCCCAAATAAATATCAATTTCTTTAAGATAGAGAGAGACTCTTCCTTTGTTATTTAGGTTTGGCAATGTATCAATTCGTTTTATTTAATCATTTCACAATATATATGTAAATCAAAACATTACATTGTACACTGTAACTATAACAATATTTATTTATCAATCATACCTTAAAGTTGTGGAAAGGAGTAGATATTTAGCAGTTCATTTATGGTTATACCGCTACCTTATATTGAGTAGAATGTATATGGAAATAAAAAGCTGAATTTCAGAGGGAAGGAAGAAGCGAGGGAAGGAGGGAAAGAAAGAAAAACAGAGGCTACCAGGGTCTGGGAGAAGTGATGAATGGGGAGTTATTGTTTAATGGGTAAAGAGTTTCTGTTTGGGATGATGAAAATGTTCTGGAAATGGATAGTGATAATGGTTGTACAACATTGTGAATATATTTAATGCCACTGAATTTCACACCTAAAAATGATTAAAATGCTAAAAATAAATGTATAACCCAATTTGAAAAAAAGGTAGAGAGTGGATAGTACTAAGAACACAGGAAGCCTCATTCCAGAGACCATGCTTTTAACCACTACGCACACTGCCTCCCACAATCTGTTACAACCGTACCCTGCAATCATAACATGTAGTGGGGAATGATACAGTAAACAAAGTATATGATAAAATCAATAAAAGTGGTGTATATAAAATCACAAAAGTTAAGCAGAAGCATTTCTCATGGACAGGAAAAAAAAGTTGAAATTTCAAGCACTTATCCATTCAATATAATTTACTAAGGCTTGGCTATGTGTTAAAAATGCCTTTTTACATATGGCATTCCCTACTTTAACATTATCTCTGTGATAAAATTCTCATCCCCACTTTAAAAATTAAGAAATTGAACAAAAAGTAAGAATAGCCAATATCCAAATTCAGCACCTCTGACTCCAAAGCTCATATTCTTTTGACCTCTATTCACTGCCTCCTCAAATATAAATGAAAACAGGATAGGCAAAACCCAACATTCTTTGTCTCAGTCAAAAAGACTGCCTACAGAAGACAGTCCCAGTAATAGATTCCAAATGATGGTAGAGATTTTTCTTGGTGCATGGAAAAAGGCTTGCAGATACAGGTGGGATGGTAAAGATATATGTACATTGAGAAGCAACAATAGGAAAAGAGTATGCTGGGGGCAAAGAAAGCTATAGCAACCAAAACAAAACCTGAAAATATTTCTCCCACTGCTACTTTTACTACATTATTTTTCATGATTTAGCAATCCCCAATAAATGGTAAGAATGCATGTCTCTGAGATATTTCTGAAAACCAACCTCCATGAGTAGTACAGAATTATGGCTAGCCAGTCTCCTTCTAAATCTGGACACATAAAGCAAGCCACACTGAAGTAGCTAATAAAAACATAAAAGAAGAATGATAGCCATGAACAGAAGCAAGAAGTTTGCAACAATATTTGAAAAATTATGCTTCAAATCTTTATCTGTCATCATCTAGGTTTTATGGACCAGTAATGAAATGAAATATCTAAAGTACATATTCCCATATGTGAATCTTTTAAAATCTGTTTACACTTCATTGATCATATCATTTCCTAATATTTCCAAGATTATGACACAAATGGAAAATTAAACAGTTCAAGAGATCCCTGGCTCTTTCACTATCTGGTTAGGTACACTTCTTTGATTAAATGGGACCTCATTTTCTTCATACAAAAAACAAAAGATATAATTCATCAAACATACTTAGTACTTTTATGCTATTTTACTGCAAATTTACTAATAAATATATCTCCAAATAACTTTAGTAGAAATTTTATTTTTTTAATCGAGCAGAAGGCTGGCATATTTTTAATGTCTATTCCCAGAGATCAGAAGTACAGGTTGAGCACGCTTAATCCAAAAATCCGAAATCCTCCAAAACTGAAACTCTATGAGCATTGCTATGATGCTGAAAGGAAATACTCAATGGAACATTTCAGATTTCAGATTTTTGGATTAGGGATGCTCAACTGGTATAATTCCAAACTCCAAAAAAAAAAATCAGAAATCTGAAACACTTCTGATCCCAAGCATTTTGGATAAGAGATACTCAATCTGTATCTAAACACCATAATTAAACCAACAGAGTGCTAAAATTGCTAAATCACCTACCCAATATTCTTTCTTATCTCTATTTAATAATAAAACCCCATTTATCTGGGTGAAAATATGTATTTATTTATTTATTTACTTACTTAGATACGGGGTCTTGCTCTGTCACCCAGGCTGGAGTTGCAGTCGTGTGATAATAGCTCACTGCAGCCTCAAAGTCCTGGACTCAAACAATCCTCCTGTCTCAGGCTCCTAAGTAGGTAGGACTACAGGTGTGTGCCACTCCACCCAGCTAATTTTTCTTTTTTTTGGTAGACACAAGATCTCACTATGTTACATATATTGGTCTCAAACTCCTGGCCTCAAGCAATCTCTCTGTCTTAGCATCCCAAAGTGCTGGGATTATAGGTGTTAGCCACTGTGCCCAGCTCTAGTTTTATTTTTTAATCTTCATTTCCCTGGTGAGAATGGCAATACCATTTATGATGAGTGCTAAGGCTTTAAGTGTCCACCAAAAAGCATGTGTTAGAAACTTAATTGCCAGTATTAACAGTATTAAGAGGTGGAACCTTTAAGAAGTGATTAGGCCATGAGGGCTCTGCCCTCATGAAGGAATTAATGTCATTATCATGGGAGCAGGCTCCTTATGAAAGGATGAGTTGTGGGTACCCGCTCCTCCCTTTCTCTTTCCCACCATATTCTTGCCCTTCCACCTTCTGCCATAAGATGACACAGCAAGAGGGCCTTTGCCAGATGCTGGTCCCTCCATCTTGTACTTCCCAGCATCCAGAATCATGAACCAATACATTTCTCTTCATTATAAATTACCAGCCTCAAGTATTCTGTTATAGTAGCAAAAATGAACTAAGACATTTCATATGGCACTATAACTAAGTTCTGACCAGTTAGGCATAAATATGAGACTTTCTAGAAGATTCTTTAGGGAAGGTGACTTGGCTAGAAGATGCAATCCACTCATCTTCCCCTTTATTGTTTCTTCTGCCTGGTACTATCCATCTCAAACTATGAGGCATTTTATTTTCAAGGGAGGTTACAAATGGTAGAGAAAAAAATATAGAAGGATTCTTGGTGTTTTACCACCATGAGGCTATACCTACTACATGCCCTACCTCTGCATCTCTTTCAGATTGATAAGAAGTAAATTCTACCATATTCAAACTAATATTATTTTGGGCTTTCTGTTACATAAAATGAGACCCAATTCTCATCTCAAAGAGGCCTCTCTTATATTTGATTATTAGATTTACTTTCCCGAAATATGTTTACCCCTTCAAAATTTTATTATTACATATAAGAGTATATAAGACCCAACTGCAGTTGTGACTCGCTTACAGACAAAGGATTTTTAATGGATCAACTCCTGAATTATTGAATCATATAAAAATATTCACACATTGAGGCCAATACATTCTTGAAGATTTCAACCTGTTTCAAGGTTGAGAAATATTCTTGGCCATCTAGATTCACCACAGAAGTTTCATTGAGTATAATCAAACTAATAATTCACTTACAAAAACAAAGTTTCACTATAAAACAATCCATTTGTGATTGTAATAAGAACACTTACAGAAAACAGAATTACATTGGGTAGTTCAACTACTATGTCAAAGCCAATACTCAGCACTTATTTATTCCCAGAGGCTTCTGCCTTCTCTTCTTCCTTAAAGCATACAAATATGCCTAGATAATTGAGTGATGCAGAAGCAGCAAGGGTCCCAATACTATATATTCTAATGAGATCTAATTGGTTTATAAATAGTTAAAGAATCATTTCACTGATGTTCCCTCCTTTAGTTTGCCCCAGCTCCCCTATATCTATAACCTTAAACTGAAACTCAATTAGAAATAAGTAGGGTAGAGCTCCATTTCTTAATGAAGTCCTTCCTAGTTTGGAAAGAGCCTAAGGGCAATTCTGGGTAGTGAAAGTGGTATTGAAGAATGAGACAACACTGTAACATTAGTGGCCAAAAGTTATACCTCTGCCCCCAATGAACTGCCCCCAGATAAGTGTGCCCTGGAAAAAAAAGTACAATGCAATCACTCTGTGCCAATTTTAGGAAGATTTTATTACCTTCTGGCTTGATAGAATAATATTCCATAATACCCCAGGCATTATTTATTCCCATTAGACAAATACCATCTATTCTAATTCTCATGAGGGCCATATCTCATTCATTAACAGGATTTTAGGAAAATGGATTCAGCAAATGTATATTTTATATAATTTACTGTGTAGTTTGTCATATATTCTCTTATAATTTTCAAGGTAAATGTTATTATTGGCTGTAGTTTCCTTTTTTCCTCTTCCTCAAAGCACTGTCACTCATCAGAAATATGTCAGAACATAAATATGTTTATTTTATATGTTAAAAATTGTGTGATGAGCAATTAGGATGGAGAGATAAAATATACCATAGAATCTGACTTCAAGGAGTTTACAACCTAACAGAACATATCAAAACTCAGGGCAAGTTTAGGTAAACAATTTTTAAAATATGCTGAAGAACACAGCTTTCAATCTTCTGGGCCCAAAATAATTTGTGACATACATTTCTACCTACTCTCTCCAGCTCTAACTTTAGATCAATATTAATAATACTGGATATCCAACATTGTACCAGGAAGTACAGAAAATAAAAAGAGGCATAAAAAAAT
This sequence comes from Homo sapiens, assembly GCF_000001405.40. NCBI lineage: Eukaryota > Metazoa > Chordata > Mammalia > Primates > Hominidae > Homo > Homo sapiens. The sequence goes on from NC_000001.11 coordinate 49,956,441, forward strand.
TAATAACTGTTTATTAAATAACCATTTACTAGGTATTAAGTATTTCATAATATATCAAAAAAGTACATTATAATGACTTACCCTTAAGAAATTTACAATGCAAAGGCAACTTAGTATGCTAGGAAGCAAACACTGACATTAGAAAACTTTGTTTTGCAAATTATAAATTATTGGTAAAACAATCTTTATCAAGCTTGATCCTCATTTAAAACATAAGGTTCAAATGAGATAAGATGTCAAAAAGATAACACCAATAGTCTTCAAATAGTGTTTCATGGAGCCCCAGAGTTTGGAATCCCATGAGGTGCCTCATGGAATAAGGAGACAAATATCCTTTGGATCAATTAATGACTTTTGGATCAATTAATAAGAGTTTGAAAACCACCTGTATAAGCAAGACATCTCTGAAAGAGAACTGATCAGTTTGTCAAGAGCAAAAGATTCTTCTTATAGGAGAAACAGTAGATTAACCCTAGATTGTGGAGAGCTTTGGATGCCTGGCTAAAGAATTTGTCTATACAGTGTCAGTTATAAGAAGTAGGAGAACAATCCAATCAAAGCAAGACTTTTAGAAAGATTAATTTGGCATGAATGTACAGCATCAACTAAAAATAGCAGGTAAAAGCAGAAAAGTCAACAGAAAGGTATTACAATGATCCAAGTGTAATTAAATAAGAGCTTTAACTAGAATGGGCACAGTGGAAATAAGAGCTGTAATTAAATAAGAGTGTAATTAAATAAGCGTTTTAACAAGAATGGGCACAGTGGAAATACAAAGAATATGTCAAAGAAAATTAAAGCAGATCTTTTACATTTGCTAGGACTGCTTTACCTCCAACTATGTGGTCAATTTTGGAATAAGTGCGATGTGGTGCTGAGAAGAATGCATATTCTGTTGATTTGGGGTGGAGAGTTCTGTAGATGTCTATTAGGTCTGCTTGGTGCAGAGCTGAGTTCAATTCCTGGGTATCCTTGTTAACTTTCTGTCTCGTTGATCTGTCTGTTGTTGACAGTGGGGTGTTAAAGTCTCCCATTATTATTGTGTGGGAGTCTAAGTCTCTTTGTAGGTCTCTAAGGACTTGCTTTATGAATCTGGGTGCTCCTGTATTGGGTGCATATATATTTAGGATAGTTAGCTCTTCTTGTTGAATTGATCCCTTTACCATTATGTAATGGCCTTCTTTGTCTCTTTTGATCTTTGTTGGTTTAAAGTCTGTTTTATCAGAGACTAGGATTGCAACCCTTGCCTTTTTTTTGTTTTCCATTTGCTTCGTAGATCTTCCTCCATCCCTTTATTTTAAGCCTATGTGTGTCCTGCACTTGAGATGGGTCTCCTGAATACAGCACACTGATGGATCTTGACTGTTTATCCAATTTGCCAGTCTGTGTCTTTTAATTGGAGCATTTAGCCCATTTACATTTAAGGTTAATATTGTTATGTGTGAATTTGATCCTGTCATGATGATGTTAGCTGGTTATTTTGCTCGTTAGTTGATGCAGTTTCTTCCTAGCATCAATGGTCTTTACAATTTGGCATGTTTTTGCAGTGGCTGGTACCGGTTGTTCCTTTCCATGTTTAGTGCTTCCTTCAGGAGCTCTTGTAGGGCAGGCCTGGTGGTGACAAAATCTCTCAGCATTTGCTTGTCTGTAAAGGATTTTATTTCTCCTTCACTTATGAAGCTTAGTTTGGCTGGATATGAAATTCTGGATTGAAAATTCTTTTCTTTAAGAATGTTGAATATTGGCCCCCAGTCTCTTCTGGCTTGTAGAGTTTCTGCCAAGAAATCTGCTATTAGTCTGATGGGCTTTCCTCTGTGGGTAACCTGACCTTTCTCTCTGGCTGCCCTGAATATTTTTTCCTTCATTTCAACTTTGGTGAATCTGACAATTATGTGTCTTGGAGTTGCTCTTCTTGAGGAGTATCTTTGTGGCTTTCTCTGTATTTCCTGAATTTGAATGTTTATTGCAGCACTATTCACAATAGCAAAGACTTGGAACCAACCCAAATGTCCATCAATGGTAGACTGGATTAAGAAAATGTGGCACATATACACCATGGAATACTATTCAGCCATAAAAAAGGATAAGTTCATGTCCTTTCTAGGGACATGGATGAAGCTGGAAACCATCATTCTCAGCAAACTATCACAAGGAGAGAAGACCAAATACCACATGTTCTCACTCATAGGTGGGAATTGAACAATGAGAACACATGGACACAGGAAGTGGAACATCACACACTAGGGCCTGTTGTGGGGTTGGGGAGGGGGGAGGGATAGCATTAGGAGATATACCTAATGTATATGACGATTTAATGGGTGGAGCACACCAAAATGGCACATGTATACATATGTAACAAACCTGCACGTTGTGCACATGTACCCTAGAACTTAAAGTATAATAAAAAATAAAAATAAATTTAAAAAAAGAAAATTAAAGCCGATCATGGATCACTTCTGACAAAGTGGCAAAAAAAAATTCATATCCCATCTTAGAGGAAAGGGAGGCACTAAAGACCAAATGAGAAAGTCACTTAACAAATTCTAACAGTCAAACATCAAAAGCAGCCCAAGATAAAAAAAAAAAAATAGAATCAAAATTCTACCTTTGACTAGGCCTGACTAGTTATTGGGTATCAAGAGAGAGGCAAGCAAAGCAAATAAAGGAGTAGGAGCTGTGAATGGAAAGGAAGGTCAGGAACTAGCAGAGACAAATCAGATAGTATTTGTGGAAATTCAAAGAGGAGTTGCAGTATAGTCTAATTTGATTCCAAAGCATGGCAGATAGTTTTATCAGGCTGTTTTTAAATGGCTGGCTCAGAAATGCCCGCAGGCATTATGAGCCTTTTGAAAAGTTTTGATCAGCACCTGGCAAGGATTTCGCAGGTAAAAAGAAATAGAGACAAGGAGAAAAGAAAAATCAAAGACGTTTCACAATTCAGATCCTGGATATTTTGAAAATAGCAGGATTCATAGAAACAGAAAAGCTGAGTTGAGGGACAGTTCAAGGTATCAGAGGTATGAAGTGTGAGGGGAGAGGCAAGAAGCCAAGAATTGAAAATGTGCAACTAGCACAATGCCTGGAACACAGTGGCTGTTTAATAAATATTTCTTGGACGAATTAATAAATAAATGAGCAAGTGAAATAGGACATTCATGCAGCCAACATGTGGAAAGCAGTGTGGCAATTCCTCGAAGAACTTAAAACAACTGCCATTTGACCCCACAGTCCCATTATTGGGTATATACCCAAAGGGATATAAATTGTTCTACCATAAAGACACATGCATACATATATTCATTGCAACACTATTCACAATAGCAAAGACATGGAATGAACCTAAATGCTCATCAACAGTAAACTGGATAAAGAAAATGTGGTACATATAAACCATGAAATACTATGCAGCTATAAAAAGAATGAGATCATGTCCTTTGCAGCAACATGGGTGGAGCTTAAGCGAACTAACACAGAAACAGAAAACCAAACACTGTATGTTCTCACTTTTAAGTGGGAGCTAAACGAAGAATACATGAATACTAGGAGGGGAACAACAGATGCTGGGGCCTACTTGAGGGTGAAGGGTGGGAGCGGGGAGGGGATCAGAAAAAAATACCTAGAGGGTACTATGCTTATTACCATGGTGCTGAAATTATCTGTACATCAAACCCCCATGACCTGCAGTTTACCTAAATAACAAACCTGCACATGTACCCCTGAACCTAAAATAAATTTTTTAAAGTAAAAATTTTAAAAAGGCAGTGTATATATACACAATGAAGTACTATTCGCCCATAAAAAAGAATAAAATCATGTCATTTTTGGTAACATGGATGGAACTGGAGGACATTATGCTAAATGAAATATGTCAGGAACCGAAAATTAAACACCACATGTTCTCACTCATATGTGAAAGCTAAAAGACTTTTAATCTCATAGAAGAAAAGTAGAACAGAAGTTACTATACGCTGGTAAGGGTAGGGAGAAGGGGAGAGATGGGAGAGATTTCATAAAAGATTAAAAAATTGCAGCTAGATTAAATTCTAGTGTTCTATACCACTATAGGATGACTATTCTTAAAAACAATATATTATGTAGTTTAAAATAGCTAGAAGGAAGATATTGTATGTTCCCACACAAAGAAACAATCAATATTTGAGATTATGGATATGCTAATTACCCTGATCTAATCACTATACATTGTATGTATCAAAACATCACTGTGTATCTCATGGATAAGTACAATCACTTGCCAATTTAAAATTTTTTATTTAATTTTTAAAATTTTAAGTTGGTATTATCTCCATTTTATAGGTGACAAATGTGAAGCTCAGAAAAGGAAAGTAATTTTCAGGTCATGTAGCTCATAAGTAGGTTTGTGAGTAAGTATGTTTGTCTCTTATGCACTGTGTTGCAGTACAGAAATCTAAAAGACCACAGTATGAGTAGGGAACTTGACAATTATTACATGAATATTTGTGAGCCACGTGAATATCTGTGAGCCACACTCAGTATTTAATAGAGTGTAAAGTTCAAAATGAAAAGGTAGGTACCAAAATTGAAAATGTGTACTTGGAATAATAAAGTGCCTTCTGTGCCATGCTGAGGAAGATGGGTTACGTTGAAATTGATGAAGCATCACCAAAGAGTTTTAGAGGCCATAGAAAGATATAATTAGATATGCATATTGGAAAGATCCATGTAGTAGAATGGGATAAAAATAGAAAATAGGTAGGTTTTATAAAGTTTTAGCCTTCTTTGTACACTTATTTTAAAACTTGTTCTTGGCAAGTCATGGTGGCTCATGCTTGTATTCCCAGCACTTTGGGAGGCTGAGGCAGGAAGATCACTTGAAGCCAGGAGTTTGTGACCAGCCTGGGCAACATAGTGAGACACCATCTCTACAAAAAATAAATTATCTGAGTTTAGTGGTGCACACCTCTAGTCCTAGTTACCTGAGAGACTGAGGGGAGACATCACTTTGAGCCCAGGATTTAGAGGCTGCAGTAAGCTATGATCATGCCACTGTACTCCAGCCTGGGCAACAGAGCAAGACACTGTGTCTAAAACATAAAATAAAATCATTCAATCAATGAAACTTGTTCTTTAGGACTTTTCTACTACTATGAATACCATTACTGCTTCTACTATGACTGTTATTTCTACCATTATTAAAAATTATTTTAATAAAAGATGCTTTGAATAGTTTAGTAAAGATAATTTTCTTGAAAAGCATGCCAATATGCATTTTAATTAGATTCCAGAGCAATCACAGTTGCTTCAACAATGAACTAAATAATGGTTCAATCAGTAACTAGAATATATGCAGTCTCAGGAGGAACATGAACAGAATATACTAGTCACATGGAAAGAACAACTTTGGCACAAACAAAATAAAATTAGTTCCACAAATGAATGGAAGAAATTCTAAATAGTTTTGTGTACAGCACCTTTGAAATGTTAAAAATCAACACTAACCAGAAAATATGTAAATAACTTTCTTCTCATTCTCTAGAATTCTTTTGGAGATCAAGTACCAATTATATTTTGTGTGAAAGCTTCTAAACCTCTTCTTTAGTGACTTTAGACTAGATATTTGAAGACAAAAAAGAGAAGCTCGGATGCTGCTTCATGAAATACAGGGGAAAAGAAGACTACTAATTTTAACCTGCATTAATTATCTTAATGGTCTAGTAATTTTATATAATGCAGAAAAGACTAGACCTGTCCCCATGGAGTTCCCTAAGAGGGAATCATGCTGTGTAGTATAGAGTGCATGAATTTCATGATCGCCAATCCCTTCGTTAAGTTGTCTAATAAAAAGAATCTAAAAATCATTTTGCTCTGACTTCCTGATAAGTTAATTTTCATGATGTCTTGTAAAAGTTTTTCCATTTACCGTGGTAGTTTTAAAAGCTCCAAATTCCAGTAACAGCAGCTTACATCAGGATAAATAAAATACTTTTTCAAAGTGTGGGGCACATTTGAAAAATTGATTCTAATGGCATCATTTCATCAACTGCTTCATGATAAATTACTTCTGAGCAAGCCCAGGTCATCTGCATGAAGTTATCTTAGGGAATCTTATATTGTACCTAACCTTCCACTACATGAAATCTCATGTAATAAAACTAATAAAATATGTTTTCATTCAATAAATACTTAGTGAGATCTTACTATGGCACTGTGCTGGATATTTAGAATACAATAGTAAGTGAAGACAAATAGTTTTTGCCTCATGAAATTCATAGCCTAGGGGCTCACACTCATTTTTAGAAACAATGGATTAAAACAGATAATATAGTAATTTACTTGACAATGATTACATGAATATTTGTGAGCCACTTAAAATCATTGAATTTTAGAGCTAAAGAGGACCTATAAGATCTTCTAGTCTAACTCCCTAATCTGACAAGGGAAGAAAAGTAGGGCTCAGAGAGATAAATTGATTAAATCAAGGTCATAAAAGTAGTTATTGGTTGAGACAAGATTCAAACCCAGACTTCCTGATTGTCCAGTTGATAATTTGCATCAAATCATGACACCTTCCCCTGCACATCAATCAAAGTGACTGGTTATCTTCTGGTTCCATCTTCCCATCACAGGCTTCTCTGGATGAAGACCATAGAACTGAATATACATATATTTCCCAAACATACGTGTGTGTTGGGTTTTCTCAAAATGTAAGTATGGGTCAGACTATAACAAGTAACAAAAATAATTTTATTGGAAAACTGCAACACTTACAAAGAAAATGTAAAATACAGAGAAGGAGAATCCAAAGTAGTTTCCTTTTGCCCCAGATTCCCATGTGTCTTCAGTATAGTTTCTTCCTTCATCTTGTTAAGGATGCAGTCATGTAATAAAGTCAAGTGGCACAGAAGCAGTGAGTGTTTGCTAGTTGCCATAATATCCATTCACTCCCCTACTCCAAAGGCTAGTGACTGAACTGGGAACACCAGAGAAGCAAAACCTAACTCTTTTTCTGTGCCTCAATATTAACATGATGCTAAGGCAATTATTTGAACTGCTGCAGTATTCATCAGTTAGCTAGCTCCCAACAAAACAACTTAAGATATTAATTCAGCTTTGGTTTCAGAGTAATAAAATATTCCAACATAGGCCCACCTCAGGACCAAAGTCAGGGCAAAGGCTTCTTTTCATGTTGGATATATACTTTGCTGCCTGAGATTTCTGAAAATAACACTGAATTCAGGGTTCTGAATGTTAGAATTTATTTTTCTATCGGCTACAAAGAAAAAGAACAAAAGGTTACAAAGGAAATGCTCCAACTGCCCATGAATATGTGGTACATAACTAAACTTGGCAATTTGACTATATATTCCAGGAAAGAGCAGAAATTATAATGCAGACTTTGTCATCTAGGTAAAAAGAACCATGATTTTTTAAAGTTAAATTCTCCCTTCTCTCCCCAAAAATTGTTCTTCAAAAATGCAATGGAATAATAACTAAGAATGGAATGGAAAGCTGAGTGTCATAAGAAAAAAAAACTCATATATCTACTGGAAATAGGTTTTCTGTTTCTCATGCAAAAATAATTACAAAAGAAATATTGAATTAAAGAAAAGGCTAACTTCAAGGGTCCAAATATCATTCATATTGTTCTCTATATTAAAATTTAATTTCTCTCATCTTGGTTGACAGAACCAAGTAGGATCTTGTGCGGATTCAGGATTCTTCCTTCCAGCCTGTGATCCTCCATTGAGAATCTATCCTGTAGATAGATATCATCTACATATAATGTAATGGTGAAGAATGGAAACATAAGCTTTGAATTAAGACAGACCTGGATTTAAGTCCTTCATCCGCCATTTACTGAATAATCTTAGGCAAGTTACTTAATCTTATTAGGCTTCAGATACTCATCTATAAAATGGAAGTAATAATACCAACTTCATACAGTTGCTGTATTAAACAGTATAATGTGTGTAAAAGCCTTAACGTAGTACCTGAAGACCTGATCAAGATATTTAGCTAAAAGTAAGAGTACTAGAAGTAGCAATGGTAGTGATTTTGCTAAGATTTTTATCTCTAAGAATCTATTTTCTAGGTGGCTAATATTATAATCATTGATGTCAGGATTGTACAGAATATAAGAGTCCAACCACTCTTTTCTCTGTGCTTTATTAGATACTGTAATATTCATTTATTAAACAGTTATTACAGAAATCATCCACTTTAAGACTACTTAAACAGTAGATAATTATCTATTAGATTTTAAAACAATGTATTATGTCATTAAAAAATGAGAAAGTCTCCATTTCTTTAATATAGAACCTGATTTCAAAATTGATTAAAGTCCAGGAAAAAAAATGTTTCTAGAAAAAAGTCCAAACATTCAAAATTATTATTATTGACTATGGTTAAGATGACTTAACTCTAACTGATCTCTCCCACACATTGATTTAGGACATTAGATTATTTTTATTTATAATTTAAAGTGAAAAGCCTGAACAGCTGAATGTGAATATAAAACATATTTTATTATAAAGAACAAATTAAACAAGTATGTAACTGTTGATTATTATTAGAAAGAGCAAAAGCTTTGGAGCTAGACAAACCTGAATTTCAAAACCCACGTGAGTACATATTGTATCCATGATTGGGCAAGTTACTTAACCTCTTTATGCTATTACTATTGAAATTATTACATTATTCTCAGACTAACAATAAGAAAATCCAACTCCATGGAAATCAATGATTGCCTCCTATCAATTTCTCACAATCCCATGCTCTCTAAGTGAGCACCTACATATGCATACGTACATGACACAGACCATCCCCATGTACTTATGTAATTACCTTCAGTGTGACCCAAGACTACAATGCTTTATCTTGCTTATCCTCCCTCTGGTCTTCTTCATTAAAAATGGCCACTCAAGCCCTGATTTTCAGCTACAGGAAAGCAGAGAGCTGAGAAGAGGCATGAGTAGAAAGCATCACATCCATCTTATCACACAAGACTATCAGGCAAACTGGCACTCAATCCTTTTCATGTAACCTCTTCATAGTGATAGTCCCTTTTCCCCAAATACATTTAATTGGACTATGAGTTCTGAAACCTCCAAGCAAGTGAACAAAACCCATATAACCAAAATAGAGACAGTGAGTTTCACTTAACCTCCTTTTCTAGGTCCCAATAAACCATTTGGTTACCAAGCCATCTACTGTATAAAGATTAATATAAACAGCAAAAGTTATACATATTCTCAGATAACTATGATGTCATTGTCCAACCTTTCTATAGGAAAGACTGCACATTGCAAAGCAGCTTTGAGATCACAAAAAGGGCCAATATAACAAGGAAGTTGGGCTGCTTCTTTGACAGCTTTGTTTAGTGACCGGACAATTCTACAATAAATAATTTTATTAAATTTTTTTACATTATTGAAGCCATATGTGTTCATTCAAGGCAATTTGGAAAGCAAAAAAATAATAATAATAATTCAACCAGAGCCCCATTAGTCTATTACAATGATTTTTTTTTTTTTTTTTTTTGAGACGGAGTCTCGCTCTGTCACCCAGGCTGGAGTGCAGTGGCGCGATCTTGGCTCACTGCAAGCTCTGCCTTCCGGGTTCACGCCATTCTCCTGCCTCAGCCTACCAAGTAGCTGGGACTACAGGTACCTGCCACCATGCCTGGCTAATTTTTTTGTATTTTTAGTAGAGACAGAGTTTCACCATGTTAGCCAGGGTGGTCTCAATCTCCTGACCTGGTGATCTGCCTGCCTCAGCCTCCCAAAGTGCTGGGATTACAGGTGTGAGCCACCGTGCCTGGCCTACAATGATTATTAATAGTTTGTTGTATTTCTTTCCTTTTTTTAATTTCTAAGCAGAGAGTTATATTGTTACATAATTGTAATTACTTGACATAAAATTGTATCCTGTTTCTGCATGTAACTTAAGTACATTGCATATTAACACTAGCTTTTCAAAAATGAACATTTTAATAAATGCATAAAATTCTAGCAAGTTCTATAGTGTTCTTAACTATCCTGCTATTATTCCTTTCTGTAAATGCTGCTGCTGAAAACTCAAAACAACACACAGGGAGACAGCACAGAGTGGTGATTAAACATGCAGACATTAGTACCAAATTTCAGACGTCAAACCCCACCATCTCCACTTAGCAGTGAAACAGTGTGAAAATCTCTTAACTTTTCTGCTTGTCAGTTTATTCTAGTATAAAATGGGAGTGAGAAAGAGGATGATACAGTGTATCTATATCATTAAGTGTCTTGTAAATATTATCTAAAGGGTTATGAACAATACTAGCACAAAGTAACCACTCAGTAAGTATTAACTATTATCATAAAGCCTTTTACTGATTCAAGACTATTTTCTTAAAGTAGATTTTCAGAAATGGAATTACTGAGCCAATGAGTATAAACAACTTTACGATTCTTGATAGAATTGCCAAACTGCTATCTAAAAAGATTATACTGTTGGACATTTGGGTTGGTTCCAAGTCTTTGCTATTGTGAATAGTGCTGCAATAAATATACGTGTGCATGTGTCTTTATAGTAGAATGATTTATAATCCTTGGGGTATATACCCAGTAATGGGATTACTGGGTCAAATGGTATTTCTAGTTCTAGATCCTTGAGGAATCTTACCACACTGTCTTCCACAATGGTTGAACTAGTTTACACTCCCACCAACAGTGTAAAAGCATTCCTATTTCTCCACATCCTCTCCAGCATCTGTTGTTTCCTGACTTTTAATGATCACCATTCTAACTGGTGTGAGATGGTATCTCACTGTGGTTTTGATTTGCATTTCTCTAATGACCAGTGAACCGAAATGTCCATCAATAATAGACTGGATAAAGAAAATGTGGCACATATACACCATGGAATACTATGCAGCCATAAAAAAGGATGAGTTCATTTCCTTTGCAGGGACATGGATGAAGCTGGAAACCATCATTCTCAGCAAACTATCACAAGAACAGAAAACCAAACACCACACGTTCTCACTCATAAGTGGGAGTTGAACAATAAGAACACATGGACATAGGGAGGGGAATATCACATACCGGGGCCTGTCAGGAGGTGGGGGGCTAGGGGAGGGATAACATTAGGAGAAATACCTAATGTAGGTGACAGGTTGATGGGTGCAGCAAACCACCATGCCACGTGTATACCTATGTAACAAAACTGCAGAACTTAAAGTATAATCAAAAAATTGATTAAAAAAATAAAAAATAAAGATTATACTGTTGATTTATACTACAGCCAGAAATATGTAAGACTATCCTAACAAGCTTAAGGCCTTAATATGTATTTCATTTTTGCTAACTCCATAGAGTAAACATCTTGGTTTCGGTTTAAATTACATTTCTTTGATTACTAATAAGGCAGAGAACTATGCCATACTGCTGACTACTTATATTTATTCTTTTGTAATTGCTAGGTATAGACTTTACAGGGTTTTTTCAAGAACATGGGATATACTTTATTTTTCTAAGATCCATCAGGGCCGGGCATGGTGGCTCACGCCTATAATTCCAGCACTTTGGGAGACTGAGGCAGGTGGATCACCTGAGGTCAGGAGTTCAAGACCAGCCTGACCAACATGGTGAAACCCCATCTCTACTAAAATACAAAAATTAGCCAAGCATGATGGCAGGCACCTGTAATCTCAGCTACTCAGGAGGCTGAGACAGGAGAATCACTTGAACTCAGGAGGCAGAGGTTCCAGTGAGCCAATATCGTGCCATTGCATTCCGGCCTGGGCAAAAAGAGGGAGACTGTCAAAAAAAAAAAAAAATCAGCATTTCCTTGAAAAAAATCTATCATGGCTCTACAAAAGAGTATTTTTAAAGCATTGGACATAAAAGTAATTTAGTCTTGCACATTCACATACATACACAAATGCAATGATTTTCTGCATTTTTCACATAGAAAAATGATTTGGGGCAGTGACATGTTTTCAAATATTTACATATACAGAGTGAAAGCCAATTCTATATAACTTTATTTACAGTGCACTTGTGATTTTTCCAAAAACTATCAACTCGCTTACCCATTCTAACAACGTTTTGGCAGAGCTAAAAATTGCCTTTCATTATCCATTTTTACCTTCTTTCTTAATGTCAGAATCTTGGATAGCATGCCTACTAAAATATTTATTTCCCAGCCTCTACTGCAGCTAAGTTTCTCCAGGTAATTAAGTTCTAGCCCATTAATGTAAACAGAAGTTTTGATTCTGAATTCCTAGAAGGCTCTTTAAAAGAGAAAGAGCAAGCATTCTATTGTCCATTTTTTCCTGCCTCATTTGGTTTCCAGTTTGGAACATGAAAGGGATGGCTAGAGCTCCAAAAGCCATCTTCGATGGCATGAAGGCCAGCATAGCAGAGTAAGAAAAAAGGAGCCTTAGTCTCTCATGGCAAAGTGACACTGTATAACTAGCTCTGAGCTACCTAACTCTAGACTTCTTTTACATTAGAGAGAAATAAATGTGTGTGGTTTTAACCATTGTTATGTTAAGGTTTTCTGCCATATACAGCCAAAACATCACCCAAGCTGACACACATGACCAAAATGCATCTGTATTTGCTTTTGAATAGCATGACTTGTCTTTCTAGTAACATACAAGTACTCAGAAATGTGGACTGACAAGCAACAGTATTTGAATTCGCAGAGCACACATACATTAAACTATCAATAGGAAAGAGGCTGACAAGTTTCTTGGTTAAAATAAGAACAGTATTTCTTTTAAACCACTTTATTGAGGTATTACTGACATACAAAAAGCTATACATATTTAATGTATACAACTCGATGAGTTGGAGGTAAGAACACATTCATGAAACCATCATCAAATCTATGCCATAAACATATCCATCACCTCCAAAAGTTTCCTCCTGCCCTCTTTGTGTGTGTATATGTGTGGTGTGTCTGTGTGAGTGTGTGTGTGTGTATGTGTATGATACAGGCATATTTCTAAGTATACAACACAGTATTATTAACTATAGACACCATGCTATACGGTGTATCTCTAGGACTTATTCATCTGGCATAACTAAAACTTTTTACCCTTAACTAATACCTCCCCATTTCCCCCACCCCACATCCCCTGGTAACCACCACCTACTATCTACTTCTTCTATGGCTTCAACTACTTTACCTCATTTATGAAGTATGAGTTTTTCTGTGTTTGGCTTATTTTACTTAGCATAATGTCCTTCATTCAGGTTCATCTATGTTGTTGCAAATAGATTTCCTTCTCTTTTAAAAAGCTGAAAAATACACCATTGTATGAATATACTACATTTTCTTTATCTATTCATCCACTGATAGACTTTTAAGCTGCTCGCCTTGACTGTCATGAATAATGCTTCTTCAATGAACATGGGAGTGCAGATATCTCTTCAAGATTCTGATTTGAAGCTGTCATAGTCAAAACAGTATGGTTACTGGCATAAAAACACAGACACATAGACCAATAGAACAGAACAGAGAACCCAGAAATAAACACACACATAAACGGTAATTCATCTTTGACAAGCGTACCAAGAATACATGATGGGGAAAGAGTAGTCTCTTCAATAGATAGTGTTGAGAAAATTGGATATCCACATGCAAAAGAATGAAATTGGACCCTTATCTTACACCATACACAAAAATTAATCCAAAAGTGGAGTAAAGACTTAAATGTAAGACCTGAAACCATAAATTACCAAGAAGAAAACATAAGGGAAAAGCTTCTTGCCACTGGTCTTGACAATGATTTCTTGGATCTGACACCAAAAACATGAGCAACAAAAGGAAAAATAGACAAATAGGACTATATAAAACCAAAAAGCTCCTGAACAGCAAAGGAAATATTCAACAGAATGAAAAGGCAACCTATGGCATAGGAAAAAATATTTGCAAACCAAATATCTGACAAAGGATTAATATCAAAATATATAAATAATGGCTACAACTCAATAGCGAAAAAACAAATAATCCCATTTAAAAGTGAGCAAAGGAAATGAATAACCATTTTGCCAAAGAAGACATCCAAATAGGTAACAGGTATAAGAATCGGTGCCTGGCCAACATGGTGAAACCCCATCTCTACTAAAACTACAAAAATTAGCCAGGTGTGGTGGTGCATGCCTGTAATCCCAGCTACTCAGGAGGCTGAGGCAGGAGAATCACTTGAACCAAGGAGGTGGAGGTTGTAGTGAGTGGAGATCGCACCATGGCACTCCAGCCTGGGTGACAGAGCACGACTCCGACTCAAAAAAAAACAAAACACACACACACACACACACACACACACACACACACACATACACAAACAAAAAAAAAAAACAGAACGGTGCCCAACATCATAAATCATCAGGGAAATGCAAGTCAAAACGACAGTGAGATATTACCTCAACTCTCCAAATCACTTCGTAAGTTATAATGTGACAGTAAGCTAATTTTCAAAGTTATATAACTCCTTGAAACTATTCATCTCTAATCAAGTGTAAGCCTCTTTAACGCAGGGAATGAGTGTTATTTGCCTTTTATCTCCTTGTCCTGATACAAAGTAGGCAAAGTTGAATGAGTGTGAGGATGCTATAGAAATTTACTACATTAAAGTACTGGATTATTTAAATATAATTGATAAAATTTTTGAACACATTACACTAGTTCCCCTTTATCTGTGGTTTTACTTTTTGGCGTTTCAGTTACCCTGTCAACCTTAGTCCAAAAATATTAAATGGAAAATTCCAGAAACAATTTATGAGTTTTAAATTACATGCTGTTCTGAGTAGCACAATGATATCTTGCGCAGTCCTGTGCTGTCCTACCTGGAACATGAATCATCCCTTTGTCCAGCATACCATACTATATATGCTACCTGCCCATTAGTCACTTAGTAGTTATCTCAGTTATCAGATCAATTGTTGCAGTATCACAGTACTTGTGTTAAGTAATCTTTATTTTACTTAATAATGGTTCCAAAGCACAAGAATAGTGATGCTGGTAATTCAGATAAAAAGAAATCATAAAATGCCAAAAAGAAGTCATAAAGAGCTTCCTTTAAATAAGAAGGTGAAAGTTCTCAGCTTAATAAGGAAAGAAAAAAGAAATCACATGGTGAGGTCACTAAGAATTGCGGGAAGAAGGAATCTTCTAGCTGAAACTATGAAGAGAAAAAGAAATTTGAGCTAATTTTGCTGTCATACCTTAAACTACAAAGGATACAGCCACAATGTGTGATAAATGCTTCGTTAAATGGAAAAGGCATTAAATTTGTGAGTGGAAGAAATGAAAGAAAAAAATGTTCCAATTGATGGCAACATGTGGCATCAGAAAGTACTAAGCCTATATGAAGACTTCACTAAGGGATCCCCTGAAATGAATGATGCAGAGCCATTCACTTCATCTCATCTTACAAGCGTTTTTGAAAATTTTATTTATTTTTATATATTTAAGTACAAGTGCAGGGTTTTTTTGGGTTTTTTTTTTTTTTTTTTTTTTTTTGCAGGGACGGAGTCTCGCTCTGTCACCCAGGCTGGACTGCAGTGGCACGGTCTCGGCTCACTGCAAGCTCTGCCTCCTACGTTCACGCCATTCTCCTGCCTCAGCCTCCCGAGTAGCTGGGACTACAGGTGCCTGCCACCACACCCGGCTAATTTTTTGTATTTTCAGTAGAGACGGGGTTTCACCATGTTAGCCAGGATGGTCTCGATCTCCTGACCTCATGATCCAGGCCTCCCAAAGTGCTGGGATTACAGGCATGAGCCACCACGCCCGGCCCAAGTGCAGGTTTTTTAGATGCATATATTGCCTAGTGGTGTTTTAGTGTACTCATCACCCTAACAGTGAACATTGTACCCAATTGGCAGTTTTTCAACCCTCACACCCCTCCCACCCTTTCCACTTTTCATAGTCTCCAATGCCTATTATTCCACTCTGTATGTCCATGTGTACCCATTGTTTAGTCCCCACTAATAAGTGAGAACCTGTGGTATTTGATATTTTGTTTTCTGAGTTATTTCACTGAGGATAATGGCCTACAATTCCATCAATGTTGCTGCAAAAGAAATGATTTCATTATTTTATGGCTGAGTAGTAATCCAAGCTCTTCAAGAAGCCAAGATGGGAGGATTGCTTAGGCCTAGGAGCTCGAGAGCACACAGACATTTTATCATCTCACACCATCACAAGAAGGGTGAGTATAGTACAATTAGACATTTTGAGAAAGAGACAACACTCATATAACTTTTATTACAGTTTATTGTTATAAGTGTTCTATCATATTATTGTTGTTGTTAATCCCTTACTGTGCCTAATTTATAAACTATATTGTAGGTATGTACGTAGAAGAAAAAAACATAGTGTATATAGGGTTCAATACTATCCATGCTTCGGACATCCACTGGGGATCTTAGAACATATCCCCCACAGATAAAGGGGGACTACTGTACATATGTTCTAAATACTTCACATATATTATGTTGCTTAATCTTCACAATAACTCTATAAAGTAAGTAACATTATCTCCATTTTTTAGAGGAGGAAATCAGGCCCAGAGAGGTTACTAACCTGCCCAAGATCACATGGCCATTAAGTGGCAGAACCAAGACCTGAAGTGAAAACCACCACCTGATAGTGGTGCACAGGGCCACTGCCAGCCCATAAGGTGCCTTTGTATGAATTAGAGACAGGTGCCCTTTGAGTGGATACAGCTCTTTGCCAGGGTTCACAGGTTGGCAAGCCAAACACAGGCTAGGTTTTGCCCTTACTCACCCCTTGCCTGCAACCCCTTGTAAAGTAAACCACCTGCACAACCATAAACAGCAGCCCTAGTGTAACAGGTCAGCTAATAAACTGATCATAATTCCAATCATTTAGAGCTGTGCTGTTTAATATGGTAGCTACTACATACCTGTGACTATTTAAATTTAAAATGCAGTTTCTCAGTCACAATGGCCACCCTTCAAATGCTCAATAGCTACACATGGCTAGCAGCTACTATGTTAAATAGTTCAGATATAGTAGATCACTTCCATAATTGCAGAAAAATTCTTTGGGAAATACTGATTTAGAGTATACGTGTAAGAGTATTAGAATGTTTTAAAATATTATACTTGATTTCTCTATTTTACATATATAATTATATATTGTTATATATTATCCTATATATTGTTATATATGGATTATCTATTATACATATATATTATATATATCATAAATAATTATATGGTATATGAATGATATTGTATATTATATAGAAATGATATTGTTATATATCATATTATATATTGTATATCATTATATATATGATCTATACAATCATTTACATTTATATCTTATATTCCTAAGAGCATTACAGAAAATGCCTGCATAGGACAAGGATTTTTTAGTGATACTTTAACATGATTTTATTGAATTTTCTGTACTGAGGATTTTACCAGACTGGAGGAAGGGAATAAGAGATATCTAACAGTACTGCAGAGTGGAGAAATAATAATTATTTATTGGTAGGAACGCTAAAACAAATGAGTAGAACAAAATTATTCATGAAAGAAAGATAACTTTTTTATTACTATGGCAGCAAAATGTTTTAACTTCTGTATATTACTTGCAAGAATATGTCTTATGAAGCCATCTTAAGTGGACTCTTTAAAACACATTTTTGAGATTTGATTAGACTCTTAAAAAGAATATTAGATAGGAGAGCTATGATACATAAGAAAGTTTCATTGCTTTCAACTTAGTGCCCCATAGTACCAGAAACATGTAGACAAGTTATAGGAAGCTCAATGAGGGGAAACAGAAGTGATCGTGAGAAAAAATGAGAGTGATTTATGAGAAAATATTAATAAATAAAATATGTATGGTGAAACCAGGTGATTTATAAAAGATCATAATAACTAAATACAAATAAATGGAGGACATAAACTTTAAGGAAATGTTTAGCAGCAATGAGAGGTTATAACTTAGACAAAGCCATTGAAATAAATGAGGCCAAATATAAAGAGAACTTAAAGGAATAGATTTCAGAAAGCAATATTTATTCTCAGGTGTGGAAATAGTCTTTCTTCAGCTGGTAAGTGACAAGAGCAGTGTGTATTTCTTAGCACTGCATTTTTAAAAATCAAAGTATTAATAAAGCCTAGGAACAGAAATCTGGTACTGATGATCTAGCATTCTATTTTCTTTTAACTGCAGTTCTCAGGATGCTATAGCATGTCATCATCTTTTTCTAGAAATGATTTTCATGACCCTAATAGGATATCTCCAAAGAGATAAACTAACAGGTTTTCTCCTAGAAGGAAGTAACATGTGTGCTGATGGAGTTCATTCAGAAAGAAGTTCACACTTAACTCCTACCATCCTCTCCAATATCCACCTCCTCATTGAATTCTTTTGACATTTTATTTTTAAATACATATGCTTTAAATTTTTAAGGGAAAAAACACTGGAATAGAAAGAATGAAATTCACAAAACCTGGAAAAAATAAATATGCAGGAAATATTTTTGTAAATATCTAAACCTGTATAGAAGTCTACATCATACATTATATACATTTTTAACAAAAGTATTCCATATTTCAGAGATTCCAAAGATATCAAATGATGTGGTAGTTGCTATAGAAACTATTCTCTTTTAATGAAACTCAGATTAAATAACTGCATAAAACAAATTCAAATTTGAAATGCAATTACTATTCTAAAGCATATTTACATATTTGATTTTATAATGGTTACAGAAAACAAGATAAAATATTAAGAACACCTTTTACATTGCAAAATCAGTGGCAGTTATAAACTTAATTGCAACTCTGCCCTTAAATACAGTACTGTTGGGTATAATGAAATTCTATTTCATAATAAAATCTCATACAAACTCTGTACCATTCGACTGCTTGGAAAAGCACTAATTTGCATGCAGTGAAAACAGTTCTGCAAGTTTACCACTTTGCATAAATGGTGTAAATTCAAGGCAAGTATAAAAAATTCCCCAAAGGCTTGAGTACATCAGATCAATGCTCAGAAAATGGCCAGCAAGTAACCAATGAAATTCCACAGCAAGTGACTTGACATAATAGTCAGGAAAGGTTCTACCTATCTAAAATTTTAACACTTTCTCCCAGCCTACAGAGCTAAGATCCAGACTCTTGAGGTTTGCACGCTCCTGTCTTACCACTTCCCATATTGGAAATATCACAGAATTTGTAATCAAAGAGACCACATTTGAAATCGTAGCTCTAATATTTACACTCTATAATATTTTAAGCAAGATACTTAACCCCTCTAAACCTGTAAAACAAAGATAACACCTACCTCATAGGATCAATGAAAGATTAACAATATTTTGTCTATAATGCCTAGCACGGTTTCTGCACATTTGGTGCTCACTGCCTGATAGCTTCTGTTATTATTATTACTACTACTAAGACCATTATTGTTCCTACTACTGCTGCTGCAAGTACTAAAGCAAAAAGCAAAGCCATGGTAACTTTTTTGACTTTTGTTTCTTATATTTAACATGTCTTCACAGTCTTCCTAATGCGCGCATTGAAAGGCAGGGTAAGGGGTGTCAGTTATGTCTGTTTAAGAGAACTGGCTTGAATCTGGCTGTGAAGATGACCTGCCTGGGCTCATCCCAGCCACCTGCTAATTTCACCAGTTCCTTCTATGTGACACATTAGAGGAGACAAACAGGCTTCACTTTGGAAGGGCTTCTGAAAATTGAGCCAACTAACAACTAGAATTTCTCATTATTTGTCTTTTTAATTTTAATTGTAGAATTTTTGTTCATTCATTCTTTCCTCAGACAAGTCTTCCCAGGTCATCTTTTCTATGTTGAAGCATATGCATAGCACTTTTTTCAATGTATTTGGTATTCTAGCAGATTGGTTACATTATTGGACCATATTAATGGCTTCCCTGTACCCATGCACTTTGGGGGTTAAAATGTATATTGATATAAATAACTGCACTAGATAGATATTGATAAATATCCTAGTAGAGATTATAAATAAAATGCCATGATAGTTCGAAAAAGGGAAACTAACTCTAACAAGGAAAATCACTGGGTAGCCCATTTTTTTCATCTTTGTAATTCAGGTAAAACTGTCCTCAGTTTTGGAAACCCTGAGCCATTTTCTGATTAAGTATAGAGAACACTTTCTCATGTAATATCACAGCTTGAAAAGCTCAAAATAAAGCACCTCCAGATTTACTTAAACTTGTGCTACAAAATGGCATCAGCATCACAGAGCTTTATAATGATGTCAAACAATCCTTTAAGGAATATAAAATTCCTATGCTACTTTGTAATTTTAACAAGCAAAACATATATACATAGTTTTAAAATACTGACAGGCAGGTCCACTATTCTCCATCCCTGACGCAGTCCTCTTTCAACCATTTCTGACTTTAGTTCTTCTAAAACCATCTCCTCCATCCCTCTAAATAGTATGTATCCATCTCAATTTCTTAACTTAATCAATTTAGAAGATACATTGTGATGATATCCTTCTGTAAAAGATTAGTCTTTAGCCAATTTACTCAATATACACACATACTTCCCTTTGCCAATATTTTTATAATTATAAGTTACCTTTATAATCTTAAATATTAACTCATATTTCTAATTCTTGTCTCTTTAATAGTTTTTTCAACTCTCTTCACTGTCAGATGAAGATATTATTTTCCTTATTCTTCCCTCTATCTTTCATTCACTTCACCTCCCATCTTCCATGAGCTTCACCTCCCTTCTTCCATGGGCTTCACCTCCCAAATTCCATGAGCTTCACCTCCCATCTTGCATGGGCTTCACCTCCCTTCTTCCAGAGGCTTCACCTCCCATCTTTCATGAGCTTCACCTCCCATCTTCTATGGGCTTCACCTCTCGTCTTCCATGGACTTCACCTCCCATCTTCCATGAGCTTCACCTCCCATCTTCCATGAGCTTCAACTCTCATTTTACACTATTCTACTTTTATATTATCTTCTGTAGACATAATAAACTTTCATGCTATGTCTAAAAGTTGGTTATCAATCAATCAACACCATTCAAAACAGAAAAACAGTTCACTGAAGGACCAGACGGTATGTGAGGACAGCATTTCCTTTTTTATGGCTCCAATGCCACAGCCCATAGACCATCTGAAGGAGAATATTTTCTGTACAATAGTAAAATGTGTTCTCTTCTCTCACCTTCCATCAATTGCTTTAAATAATACCACGTTTTATTTCACTTCATTTTAAAATATTATTTGTGCTACATTTATTTTATTTCTATTGTTTTCAATTGGCTAATTTTTGTCACACACACACACAAAAAACTTCAGCCTGTCTATCCATCCACTGCATAGATGGTTAGGGATATTCCTTTTTTCTTCAAAGGTATTCTTCCAATAACCTTCTATCTTTCTGCTCTAATCAGGACTGATCATTCTCTAGGCCTGCTGCCTAGCCATTATCTTCCAATTCTCTTTCACTATCATCTAAGAGTAAATCTACTTTTCTCTTTCTGCATATTCTCTTTAATTCTGCTGGTACATATCCTTAAGCAACTTTTGAGATAGGAAGCCTCAAAGATACACATTCTGATTTTCAACGTGCCTGAAAATGACTTTATCTTCAAATTTGACTGAAAATTTGGCTTGACATAGAATTTTAGGTTGAAAATAATTTCTTTTGGAACTTTGATGGCCACTACTTTTTGTTTATACAAACACAAACATACATACAAATAATTGGTCAGATGCAGTGGCTCATACCTGTAATGCTAGAACTTTGGAGGCCAAGGCAGGAGGATTGCTTGAGGCCAGGAATTTGAGACCACCCTGGGCAACATAGCAAGATCCTGTCTTTACAAAAAAAAATTAGCCAGGTATAGTGGTATGCACTTGTAGTCCCAGCTACTTAGGAGACTGAGGCCAGAGAATCACTTGGGCCCAGAAGTTGAAGACTGCAGTGAGCTCTGACTGTGCCACTGCCCTCTAGCCTAGGCAACAGAGAGAGACCCTATCACTAAAATAAACAACAAAAAAAATTATTTCAGGGTTGTTTATAAAAAGTAAAACTGTGAAACCCTAAATGCCCAACAATAGGGACAATTTAAAATAGTAGTTACAGTAGTTATAGTATATCCAAACTGTAGAGAACATTCAGTCATAAACATGATGACAATGTGAGAATATGGAAAGATATTCAGAATAAACAGGTAAATATTTTCCAGAAACTAGTTACAAATGAACACACATATACCATTTTAGTTAAAATATACATTTTAAGATATACTGTGTATACACATACACACAGACACCTATATGCATGGGTAAAGGAATAGAAGAATATATACCAAAATATTAACAGTGGTTATACTAAAGAAAATGTATTTTGGGTGATTTTATTTTATTCATATTTTCTGTATTATCTGAATTTTTAATAAAACACATGTGAGCCATTAGAAAGCTCAAAAAATAACATACAGTTGGCCCTTCAACAACATGGGTTTGGACTGTGTGGGTACAATATACAGATTTTTTTCAGTAAGTATATTGAAAAATTTTTTGAAGATTTGTGACAATTTTTTAAAAACCTATAGATGAACAATGTGGCCTAGAATATTTTTTAAATTAAGAAAAAGTTAGGTATGCCATGAATGCATAAAATATAGGTAGATACAAGTATCTTTTATAATTTACTACTGTAAAATACATACAAATTTGTTATAAAAAGTTAAAATATATCAAAACTTACAACCTGGCCGGGCGCGGTGGCTCACGCCTGTAATCCCAGCACTTTGGGAGGCCGAGGCGGGTGGATCATGAGGTCAGGAGATCGAGACCATCCTGGCTAACAAGGTGAAACCCCGTCTCTACTAAAAATACAAAAAATTAGCCGGGCGCGGTGGCGGGCGCCTGTAGTCCCAGCTACTCGGGAGGCTGAGGCAGGAGAATGGCGTGAACCCGGGAAGCGGAGCTTGCAGTGAGCCGAGATTGCGCCACTGCAGTCCGCAGTCCGGCCTGGGCGACAGAGCGAGACTCCGCCTCAAAAAAAAAAAAAAACTTACAACCTGTTATAGACATTACATGGTATATTCACAGGAAAAAATGTAAGCAATTATAAAAATGCAGTGTTAAATCATAACTGCATAAAATTAACAGTAGTACATACTGTACTACTGTAATAATAACCACTTCCTGTTGCTTTTGTGGTGAGCTCAAGGGTTGCAAATATCTGCTTAAAACACTGTGTGACACTAATCATCTCTGCATGAGCAGTTCATCTCTCCAGTAAAGCATATTGCATTAAAAAATAGTCTTTCTTCGTTTAGTGCAATACCATAAACTTTGAATAACAACACAGGACCCATGTGGAATGCCACTAGTGATGCTGGAAGTGCTCCCAAGAAGCAGAGGAAAGTCATGACACTACAAAAAAAAATTAATTGCTTGGTATGTACCATACATTGAAGTCTACAGCTGTGGTTATCCATTTCAGAAAGATGATTCATCTTGTAAACAGACAACATAAATTTGGGGTATTGATAAATACAGTATAGTATTATAAATGTATTTTCTCTTCCTTATGATTTTCTTAATAATATTTTCTTTTCTCTAACTTACGGTAGGAATACAGTATATAATATATATACAAAATATGTGTTAATTGACTATGTTATTGGTAAGGTTTCTAGTCAACAGTAGGCTATGAGTAAAGTTTTGGGGGGGTCTAAAGTTACATGTGGATTTTTGACTGTGTGGGGCTGTCAGCGCCTCTAACCCATTGTTCAAGGGTCAATCACATAGCAGAAATTTTTTATCTTTAATTTTAGTAAAAACACATAGCATAAAATTTCACATCTTAATGATTTTTAAGTCTATGTACAGTTCACTAGTGATAGATATATTCATATTATCATGCAACAGATCTCCGGAACTTTTTCATTTTGCAAAACTGAAACTAAATTTTGTAAAACTGAAACTCTCTACCCATCAAACAACTTCCCATTTCCACCTTCCCTCGGCCCCTGGTTACCACCATTTTACTTTAATAATAAATTTGACTACTTTAAATACCACATATAAGTGGAATCATACAGTATTGTCTTTTTGTGACTGGCTTATTTCACTTATCATAATGTCCTCCAGGTTCACCATGTTGTACCATGTGACAGGATTTCCTTCCTTTCTAAGACTGAGTAATATTCTATTGTATGTATATACCACATTTTGTGTATCCATTCATCTCCCAATGAACATTTGGATAGCTTCCACCTCTTGGCTATTGTGAATACTGCTACTGTGAACATGAGTGTGCAAATATCTCTTCAAGATCCCGCTTTCAATTGATTTGGATATATAAATAGACACTTTTAAAGCTAATCAACTCTTAACTTCAAGATAAACTGGTATTCTCCATATCCTCTGTAAAACACTCTGGCTAATTGTATGGCATATTAACTGCTCAAAGATAAAAGCTGTTCTCAAGTATGCCCTGTACTTCTGCTAGTACCAATTTATATTGTTTTCTAAGAGTTCACTTTTATCTGATACCAGGTTTATTTATGTCATTTGCACTTGGTATTGTAATTACTTTAATTGAGTATTACATAAACTATTTAATTACTAATATGAAAGAAGGCCACTTATGAAGAAACAAAGTTGAATGCTTCTGGAAATTTTAAGAAGGTGAAGGCAAGTAGCTTAAAAATTGTTAGGTTAAAGGCAGAACAGGGAACTGCAAAACACTTATAAAATTATAACAATCTCAAAGGATTCTGTACACGCTTGCTTTATAAGTGTCTTCATATTCTAGCTCAACTTTGAAGAAAGCAAACCTGGAAAATGTAGACAATGCATTATTTTTGTAGTTTATGCAAAAAAGACAATATGGAATTCCAATCGTCAGAATAATACCAAAAGGAATGCCTTAGTCCTACATCCAAAGATTAGAGAATGAGTATATATTTATATGTCTTAAAGTGTGTATGTACCATTTTTATGATTCATTGCTTTAACTGACCTTTCCAATTAACTAAACAACTATGGATTCAGACTGCTCCAGATAAGAGGCATTTTACTATTTCCATTTTAAACTAAAAATATTTAATATATACACACTATATATGTATATAAATATATATATACACACACATCTATATATAAATATGAAAGCAATGGATACAGGCTGTCTGCATTCAAATCATAGCTCCACCAATGACTAGCTAGATGGTAATGTATTTAACATCTCTGCGCCTTCCTTTCCTGATCAAGATAATAATCGCATTAACTTTACAGAGTTGTGCTGGGCAGATAATAAATGTGTGCTATTATAATTAAGTAAACCACTAAACCAATTTCCTAATCTAGCCTGGGGACAATCTGGTAAATAAATCTGATAAATGGATTATATCCTTTGGCTCTTTTATCTATTTTGTAATCTTTACCAGAAGGATTTTCTTCCTCTATGTGTTCCTTAAATTTCCCCTTTTATAATTCAAAATCATTTGTTCAATTGTTTCAAACATGAAACTCATTGGATTTCACCAGGGATCCAGAGCGTAACTCTTGATGTCAAAGATACTAATTAAATGTTTAGTGAATATCACTGTTGCAGCTAAAGTACTGTTTTGTGTCCACTACGGGTATTTCTTAATGTGAGAATTTTTTGAAGAGAAAGGTCACTAAAAATAGTGAATACAGTTGAATGGTGATCATTAAGATGTGTTCAAAATTAAGTAGTATCCCAACACTACGTGAAACTTAGTGATGGCAACAGTGGCCCATCTAGAGCCCCTGCTGCCATGGTGCCAGGTGCAGTGGGGGAGATGTGCCCAGGGCTGCGCTCCACAGAGCTGGCAGGAGCCAAGGACAGGTAGAAGCCCTCTGCCCTTCTGAGTTGACAGAGTGGGAGCTTTGTGCTCCCTGTGCACAGCTGGGTATGTGCATGCTCAGGGCAGTGCTGACACACCAGCCCCCTGCCACCTTGGCCCCCTGCAGACTTTGGGTGCCAACAAACACAGAAGAGAGGCCAAGGGGGTGCTGAGGGCAGCTCAGCACTGGCCTACAGGCGCCCCCTCAGCATGAAGAGCCTGGGCACCATGAACAGCAGCAGGAAGCAGAAAGGCTTGGGGCAGAAAGGGGTGGGTCCCCAATGAAGCCCCACCTTCAAGCTGGGGAGGGCCTGAAGCCTGGGAGCCAGGCTGCCAGTCCCGTGGACCAGAGTGGGGACTTACGGTGCTTTTTCTGGGGCTACCTGGTGGCCGCCCATGAACCAATCAACATGCACTTCATCCCCTCTGAACCCCATAAAAACCCCAGACTCAGACGTCAGGACAATCAGCTGTGGAGAGGGGCTACCCACTCCAGGGTCTCCTCTCTGCTGAGAGCTAAGAGGTATCCAGACGACCAGCTATGGAGAGGAGCTACCCACTCCAGGGTCTCCTCTCTTCTGAGAGTTGAGAGACATTGGGGCAAACAGCTGCAGAGAAGAGTTACCCACTCCTGGATCTCCTCTCTCATGAGAGCTGAGCACTCAGCAGAACAGCCTGGCTATGAATAAGAGCTATCCACTGCAAGTCTCCTCTGAGCTGTTCTATCTATCAATAAAGCTCCTCTTTGCCTTGTTTACCCTCCACTTGTCTGCATACCTCATTCTTCCTGGACATGGGACAAGAACTTGGGACCTGCCAAATGGCAGGGCTGAAAGAGCTTAATACAAACAGGGCTGAAAAACGCCCCTTACTCGCCATGTTGCAGGCAACAAGAAGGAGAGAAGAGCTGCAGCACTTTGAGGAGCCCAGACTTAGGAGCTCTCCAAACCAGAACTGTGACACCCTCTTTGGGGCTCTGCAGTTCCTGACGTCTCCAAGCTTCTGGGCACCAATGCATTCTCCAGTGCCAGACAAGGAAGCTGCTTGTGGTACACCTAATCCAGCTACAGCCTCACAGAGAGCCAGCACCTTGTGCTGCCTGCCCCACTGCAGCCAGCATGCCTGGCTGTGCACAGTGGTGGGACCCCATGCTCACTTGCTCACACACCGCTCGCTGCTCTACTCACCTTTGGCAGGCATGGGATCCAGGCCAGTAGCACAAGTCACAGGCAGCCTGCCAGGTGAAGTGGCCAGTGGCATCTTTGCCCTAGTTTTGCTTGGCCAAAAAAACTCAGGCAAAGGTGCCATTGGCTACAGAGGTTTCCAGCTGGCAAAGCAACACCCCAAGCATCCCGTAACATTAGTAAGATTAGAATTTAGGTTAATCAGTACTTTGAATACATCTACTTTGATCATGAACATTTTTTTGATTTTTTTCATACTTGCAGAAGTTCATAAAGAAAAGATTTTAAAATATTGTGCTATAACCATAGATCAGTTATGCATACCTGGCTTTGCAGTATGCATTTCACTGTGACTCCCAGTCCCAATCACTGACTGAATGGGCTCCCTGTGGCCCAGGAGACCCCAGAAAAACCTTAAAACCTTAAAACTGAGTTCCCAGCCATGACGGGACAGGTCCAATGTGGCTTGTTATACTCTCCCTCTTTTGGGGTTTAGACACAACTGACTGGCATTGTTAAAATAGAGATCATGAGACTGATAGAGCAGACTCTTCTATGGCAGTAAGATACCAAATTATATACGGGACCTAAGTCCATGCCAGGCAAGGGTAAAGTCAGGCACTCCTATACTTAACGAATAAACTATGTTCTAACTGCCACAAGATTTTTCTTGTTCTCTAGCAGCTAAACAAGCACTGCCCTTGAGATAAGCAATATTAAAACAATTACAGCTCATCCAGCTCACAGATTCTGACTAACTGACTAACCATAACTACAGTTTTCATTGGACAAGGGACTGATTTCAGTAACTTTCTCGTACAGAAGACCACCAGCCATGGACTGGTTCTGGGCAGTTTACAGAGACTGCATCTTTGAGAGCCTTCATGTCCTGAAAAGACCTTTTGACATAGAGAGCTTAACTGTAACACATTTAAATGTTAAGTCTCTACCCAGGGTGAACATAGGTCTTATGTAACATACGTGTTTGTTCAATACACATGCATCAGGACTACCTTCATGAATATTCATAGCTCCTCCTGTAACCTGTTGAACATGTATATTTAGCCAAATTGTTCAGCACAAACTCCCACCCCAAAACCCCTCCTGCTTCCAGGTGCCTATCTTTGGTCTTTGCCAGAGGCACACTTCCCAGCCTGCAGTATGGCCACCTTGCAGGCTGTAACTCTTTAGAAGAAATAAAGTCTCCTCTCCAAATTTATAAAGACTTTGTGATTTTTTACAGTTAACAATTGAAACCAACAGAAATATAAGATATTACATAATTGAAACAAAAGCAGCTTATGAAAGGGTATCAAAAACCATAAAAGACATTTATAAATGAGTCTGAGACTCAGCAGTGGAGTCTGACATGGAGCAATCACTGCAGAGGCAGAAACAAAAGATTAAATGGCATCATTCAAAAAGAGCACATAGATTGAGAGAAAAGAGTTAACAATAGAACCCTGGAAACACCAAGATAGAGAAAGAGAAGTCATCGGATAAGGCAAAAAACACAGACAATTGTGAGAAAAATCACTTATTCTATCTTTCAACCAGCACTTCTTGCCCAACTACAGTACTACATGCTTGGGAGAAATATGTTATAGAAGCCAAGGGGTATATTGCATGATACTGAGGTTTATAGTACGAATAATCTTGTCACCCAGGTAATGAGCATAGTATCCAACACTTAGTTTTTCAACCCTTCCCCGCCTGCCCCACATTCCCTCTTGTAAAATACCTACACAATGTATCCCCGAATCTAAAATAAAAATTGAAATTATTTTTTAAAATAAATAAATCATTTTATTAGAAACGAATCCAAGAGGAAGGTGACTCAAAGACAGAATAAACAACAGTGGCAAATGCTAGAGAGAGCTCAAGAAATAAAGGCCTGAGAAACATATTTAGAAGGTAATTATTAACTTTAGAGAGTGTATTTTCTCTATAGTGATGGGTGTAGACGATGGATGGAAAGTTGAGGGAGGTAAGTGAAGAGAAAAAAAATCACAAGTATAGACTTTCAAAAAGTTCTGTTATAAGGCAGTAGCCAGAGGTGATGCTTACTTGAGAAATTGATTTGTTGTTCTATAGATGAGAGATGGTTAAGAATGCTTACACATAATGAGGAAAAAGCCAGTACACACGGGCCTTTCAGCACAGTCTTTAACAACATATTTGTTTGCTGTTCAGCTCTTCATAAAAAATTACTTGTTTGAATGCAGTATTTTACCTACAGATGTTCAGCTCTTTGAATGTAATGACCCCTAATCTTTGATACTTCTTTGATTCATTTAATAAGAACAGGTGCAATTATACCATATTTTACAATACCTGAAAATCAACTATGCAGTTGATCCTCACAAACATCATTTTCCCTATTTACAGATAAATACCTGAGGTTTAAAGTGGGTAAATAATTTTCCCCAAACTAGTAGGTAGCAAGTTTCTTAAGAAAAAAAGGGAAAATAAAAAAGCCCAATTCCTCCTGCTTCAACGCTTTAATTATATCCTACTACTCTTCTACTAAGGACATTCCAGATAACATAAGAAATCTCTTGAGTTATTGAAACAGATTGATTTTTAACTCTTTTTATGTAGATGTAACATACATACAGAAAAGCACACCAATCATAAGTATGTAGACCAATAAAATATCACAGTGAACACATTTATATAACAATCACCCACATCAAGAAACAGAACATTTCTACCACCACAAAGTCCTCATCTTGCCCCTTCCCAATCAATAGATCTTATGCCTCCCCAAAAGTAAACCCTGTTCTGACTTCCAACAACATGGAGTAGTTTTTTACTGTTCCTGGGCTTAATATTAACGAAATAATATGATACATATTATTTACTGCCCATTTCTTTAACTCAATATTTCATTCATTCTCATTGCTGTGAAGTATTACATTGTAATATGCCATTCTGTTGACTGTTATGTGGGTTACTCCGACTTCCACCTATTATTTAAAAAATACTGTTTCAACATTTTTGTGCACATCTTTGGTGCACATATGTACATATTCAGAGGAAGTACATATACCTAGCAGTAGGTCATAGAGCATGCATATGCCCAACTTAAATAGATCCTACCAAACTGTTTTCTAAGTGGTTGTACCAGTTTATACTCCCATCAGCAGCATATGAGAGTTTCCAGAGCTCCACATACTGTGTGGCAGATTCATTTTGAAAATATTTTACACTAATTTCTCACACATTTCTATTTCATAATGCACTCTTTAAAAGCCAAATCTTTTGTTAATATTTCTTCTTTATTGAATACCAATGTCCCAGGCCTTACTAAACTTGAACAGTTAACTTTCTTACATGCTACCATTGCCCGTGAAAACAACAAAATGATACCTATATTCATCAATGTACTTTAAATGTATTTTATACCATGAGTTATCTGTTATTCCAAATTATAATCTTTCTTTCTTCACATTTCTTAGTAAGAAAATATTTGTGTGATACCTGGAGTGCCTACCTAACATCATCTATCCCCCAAAAATCTGCAGAAGATTTTGATGGGTCACTTATTCCTCTAGGAAACCACTTCCCTGCTGGTAAAGGAAATGATCTATGTATAATACAGCCACTCAAGGGAAAAAAACAGATCTGTAAAAAACATCAGCATATACTAGCATGACTGCCAACTATATTTAATGCTTTGCAAGGCATTGTTTATACTTAATGCCAAATCATTAGAGTAATTCTAATTTTATCAACAAATGTCAAGAAGAGGCAGAAAAACAGTCTCAATCATAAGAGTTTTGAAATTATTTATTCCATTTTCTAAGAAACAAGCCTTCTAGCCAAAGAGCTTTGGTATATTGTTAACATTTTTACATTAGCCCTATGATAATAAGAGCTGAGCTATCTAAAATAGTTCTTCCTAAAGGCAAATCAATTCAACAGTTTTTAACAACTAAATGGCCAAACTGACATATCTTTAGGGAGATGGGATTCAGGGATCTTTTATCAGTACTCAGAAAACAAATGAAATATATTTCAAGACATCTAGAAAATGTGAGGAGAAGCTATGTAAAATAGCAACGTAACAACAAACAAAATACTAATGAGCATTTTTGTGTTTGGTGTTATCCATCTAAAACTTGCCAAGCACATATTATATTTAAGACAACTCCAAATCTAAGACTGTCCACTGAATTCATACTTTATTCAAATACTATATAGAAATTATACACTTTTAAAATTTTTATAAAAGTTGTTATATTATTTGTGTAATTTTTATTATAAACTTTTTCACCCAATTTCTCATGATGTAACTTTTTAACAAATACATCTACATTGTGTTTACTGTACTAAGTACTTTGCAACTATTAACTCACTTAATTGTTAAAAACAATTGTAGGTAAATGGAGAGCCAGAATTTGAACCTAGACAGTCTAATTCAAGTTCATGCCTCTAACCACACAAAGTACTGAAAAAACATGTACGAATTTAACCAAAAAAAAAAACCCCTATTCTTTTTTATAATAAATCTTTGCTATACCTAGCCTATAGAATTTATTTAAGGGAAGAAAAGTTTATAGGAAGACTCAAAGACAAAAAGTATAATCCTTTGCTATATGCATATTTAGCTTGCTTAAAACAGTATGTCATCAATTTTATAAATATATTAAGAGAAAATATGAAAACATATTTATCCTTAAGCAATAAAAGCTTCTTTTAAACAGTTTAGAATTATAAAACCTGAAGCGAATAAAAATAATTTTAACTTCTCTAATTATGCTTTAATCAAGAATGCAATTCTAATCAAGTTTTTATCCATCCATTTATCTAGACTTTCCTAAGCACAGTATTTGAGAATACCAAAAGGCAATTTCATTTTGTTTGTCAGGGAAGAAAAAGGATATAAGAGAACTCTAAGGTCACTTAGTCAATTTCCTGCTCAGTCGTTTTATTTTCCCTATATTACCCAGGGCTTTGCAGAGCTGCAATAGAGAGTGCTAGAGTGCACATTTTCCCCTCAGTGATATAGAATGTTTCCAGCAAAATGAAAATATGTTCAAGTCAACTTTTTTAAAAAAGAAAGGCATGCCTGCATGAAGCAAAGAAAGGACCATTCAAGTATTTACTTTCCTGGTCTTAACAGATTTCAACTCATAATGGCCCTGCTTCCTCTGACTAGTTTTACTATTTAACTTAAGTACTGTAGTTCTAAATCAAATACATCTAGAATCCTCACATATTACCAAAATAACTGAAAGAATATCTGGAAAAAACTATGATTCTGCAGCTATAAAAATCACTTCAATCCCAATGTAAATTCTCTGTAAACTCCATCCCAGTTTCTTAAAAAGTAATAGGAGTAGTAACTGCAAGAGGATTAATATTAGAACCAGACTATATTTTTGATGTGCATTCAAAAATGCTTCTGTCTCCAGCAAACCATAGCACCTGAAATTCCCATTCGAGTAACTTTTTGAATATCCAGATAACACCATTAAACTGCCTTAATGCTAATACTTCATGCATAACACACACAATTAACCCTAGAAACAAACCCGTATTTGTGCATCTGTCATAAGAGAAGAATGAGACTCAGTGAAGTTAGCGTCTAACAGTCCCAAGATCACACAGCTTGACGGAGCTACCATTCAAATCCTCAATCAAAACTAGTGTAAATATACTACAGCTGCCTCAGTTCCCAAGTGGGTTGAAAGGAATAACAGATGATTACACATCAACATAAAATAATGGATTAATTTAACAGAAAACAGTATACAACAGAGCTGTGAGGAAAGGGGAAAACAAGACATGTGCATCTGAAATGTAGAGAAGGCTGAACTTTGGGAGATCTGCAGCCTAATGCCCTAATCAGGCAGGAAAGGCTCCAATGGGATGGCACCAATGAGGTAGGGTCTAGATAGGAACAAGGAGGGGACAAGTACAGCAGAGACATGGTACATAGATAAGTAGCTTTCACAGCTTAACATAGGCCTGTTGTGGTAGTTACATATCCAATACTATAGGTATAGTTAGTATCTTTATTTCTGCCAGCTTACAAACTTATTTTTTTCTTCAAAATACATGAAGAAAGAGCAGATACCCTTCCAGCTTTAGGGCTTGCTCAAAAATGCCCATAATTGACATCAATGAATGTCCTCTATTTAGACTATTTAAAGGACTATCAGAAATTCTCCTTTGTTTTAAATCAAGTTGTTGTTTGACTGATTTAAAAAGATTAAATCAGCTATATGTCTGTGTATTTGCTTTAAAAATAAAAATGTTTAAATATGAAATGGCATTCCAATCTGCTCTACCATGCTGAAATGCTCCAGAAATTTTTAAAATATTCTCTCTTTACAGTATTATTTCCTTACAGATACCACAGATCTTACAGTAGCTGTACAGTATAAAATGCAAGAGAGTACCTGAAGGTCCTAGGCATTTTGATTACTTCCTGGTGGGTATACCTTCAATTACATAATTTTCCATAATTTCCTATTTCTTTCCAGAAAGGGTAAACACAAAAAATACTTAGTGAGTGAGGGGTGGAAGGCAGCTAGAGATTATCTGTTAAATCCTGTGCCTCTAGGCATAACAAACAAATTGTGTATTTTAAACACAATTTTGTAAAACAATCCAAACAAATTAAAAAAGAAAAAGCAAACCTTTCAACTCTTACCATATACTGGTATAATTTTTATAATGACACTAAGTACCAACATTAATTGTAATACCAATGTAAAGATGGCATTTGTTTTTCACATTTAATATGGTTAGGCTTTCTGTCCCCACCCAAATCTCATCTTGAATTGTAATCCCCAGGTGTTGAGAGAGGAAACTGGTGGGAGGTGATTGAATCATGTGGGTGGTTTCCCCCATGCTGTTCTCATAATAGTGAGTGAGTTCTCATGAGATCTGATGGTTTTATAAGGGTTTGGCCACAAGTTCTTCTTTCATTCACTTGTCTCTCTCCTGCTGCCTTGTGAAGAAGGTGACTGCTTCTCCTTTTGCCATGATTATAAGTTTCCTGAGGCCTCCTCAGCCAGGCAAAACTGTGAGTCAATCAAGCCTCTTTCCTTTGTAAATTCCCCAGTCTCAGGTAGTATCTTTATAGCAGTGTGAAAACGGACTAATGCAACATTTTATTTTCTTTTAGCTACTGTATACAATCTTTATAAAGCCCTAGGTTGAGTAGTACTAATTGTAATGGCATACCTAAAGGCATCTGTGATCTGTCACCGATTAGCCATGTAATCTTGGCCAAGCTATTTAACAACACGAGCCACATTCCTCACTATAAAACTGATGATACTACAGTATAATACCTCTGAATAGGTTTGTAAGGATTAAATAAGTTTCAGAAATCTGTAGCGTGTAGGATATGTTTAGCACAATGACTTTTACTAATGTGAATTACACATATGAAATTTCTGTGTATGTTCTGAAGTGTTGTAAAGATGCACTATTATCATCACTAACATATCATATTAAAGATTATATGCGTAATCGTCATTAAAAAAACTCAAACCTAATAGGGTCATTTGAGAACTAACAGCATAGCACATGTGAAAAATGTTTAACACAAAGCAAGCTCTCAATAAATGTTTATTTAAAAGTCTATGAGTGAAATACACCCAGTGAAGCCAAACAGGGAGATTTAGTAAACTATGTAGCTCCAGACTATTATATGACTGCAATATTTACGTATAATAACCTTTCATTTATGAGACAGAACATTATGTTGCATATTAAAATCATCAATTATTAATGTTTTGAGTCCAAAGACCCTCATGAAATGTTATTAGAGACAATATAATATGAATTCCCCTTGTAGGACATTAGTTTTAGTATATATTAAAAAACACGTATATAATTATATACCTATATTTCAATATATGTATAAATAATTCTTATGCATCTGCATACATGACAATCACTTCTAAAAACAAATATATTGCAATCTTTATAATAATCAGATTTTGCCAAAAATTTTACAAAGCCTGGTTTTTCTAAATCTTTAAACAAATGATGTATTTTCATATCCAACTTACTTTAGACAATATAAATCTATATTTAGATAATCAACCATACACACTTTCATCAGTTTTATCTCCTCTCCTGATTCTCTCCCAGAGTCAAGTTTCACATTTCTAACTGCATCCTCATCATATCCACATGGATATACCATTATTACTGCAAGTTCAAGGTGCCTAAAATAAATCTATCCTTTCCACAACAAAACTATGTCCTCCTTTGATTCTTCCATTTCTGTCAATGAATCCCCAAGTTTGACAACTTAGTTTTTTTTAATTCCTTTCGCTCTCCTCTCTGGAGAGACAACATCATATACAACCAACATTAAAGGGCTTTGGAGTCAACTAGATCTGAATTAGTCCTGTTTCTACTTCTTACTAACTATGTGAGCTTAAGCAAGTTATTATATACTCTACACTTAAGTTCCATATCTATAAAATAGAAATTAATCTCATTTACCTTGCAAGATTATGGAAGACTTAAATATAAGGCATATAAAGTACCTAGGAAATAGTGAGCTTTTATACATGTTGATAAAGCCACTTCTCTTCCTTCATCACAACCAGTCATCAAGAACTATAAATCCTTACTTTGGGCCAGGCGCAGTGGCTCACGCCTGTAATCCCAGCACTTTGGGAGGTCAAGGCGGGCAGATCACGAGGTCAGGAGATCGAGACCATCCTGGCTAACACGGTGAAACCCCGTCTCTACTAAAAACACAAAAAAATTAGCCGGGCATGGTAGTGGGCACCCGCAGTCCCAGCTACTCAGGAGGCTGAGGCAGGAGAATGGCGTAAACCCAGGAGGCGGAGTTTGCAGTGAGGCGAGACCGCGCCACTGCACTCCAGCCTGGGCGACAGAGTGAGACTCCGTCTCAAAAAAAAAAAAAAAAAATCCTTACTTTGAAATGTCCCCTATGTCACTACCTTGTTCTGGGGCCTTCTCATTTAAATACTCAGGTTTTGGGTCTCATTTAGTTCCCTATGTATCTGGGATAATGGCCACAAAACAGCCAGCCTATCCAGTGATCATTTCTTACCTGGCATACTAGCTCCCAATAACACAAAAGCTACTTTACATCTATTTAGGATTCCTGAACATTCACTCCATCAAAGTTCCTTCTGCCTACCTTTCAATACTTTCCCTCATCCCTATGATCCTTCATAATTCCTTTAGGAGTCTCTGAGAGTGACCCTGACACAAATTCTCCATTTCCTTATTGCCTATCCTTTTTGTATCCATCCAATTGCTCTGCCAGGCAGACAAGCTCCCTTACGTCATCCTACCTTGTAGAACTAATGTGATCTTGAGGACTCTCACTCCTATAAACTCTCCCCAATGCTCCTATACTCTTCATTGAATGTTCCCACTAAGGGAACACACTATAACTGCACTATTTCCCTTGCAGTCCTCTTAAGAGGAGACGGCTCACGTTTTCTTTTTTACCATTGGTTCTCAAACATGAGAGGAGAAACAGCCCCATGTTAGCTTGCACATCATTACTATTCCATCCTTATTCAAAAACGCTTTCTCTTTGGAATGCCAAGCCATAAGACTAAACCATCCTTTCCCTACTTATAGTGAAATGTTATAGAATTCCTTGTCATTTCTTCACTGGTTGATATGAATACACTGATGAATAAAGCAAATAAAACAGGATATTAAGTGGGATATAGTGACTGAACCAAAATACAATAAGATTAATTTCACCATTTAAAAAATATTTTAATGTGGTTACTAGCAAATTTAAAATTACAAAGGTAGATTACATTTAAGGTTGACATTGTATTTCTACTGGACATTGTTGAGATTGAGCTTTCCATTCCAAGTTCCTTGATCCAGAAATCTAGCCTTCAATGGACTAGATTAGCTGAATGTGAGTTTTTAATTTAAACTCTACTATACTCTTCCTTTCTAGTTTTGATAGTCTCTACTCTTCTATCCAGACAGTATACCTATTCTCCTGAAAACTACTTCTCACTAACTCCTCTGTGCAGTTGTGTCTCTTCCTACCCAGAATACCCTTTTCCTTTCCCTTCTCACCCACAATAGACATCCCTGTGACAGAATATTCTTCAAAATACTTGCTGCCCGGCCCTATGGCAGAATTACACACCCCATCTTGTTAATATTAGGCTTGCTAATATCATGAGAAGTAACGTGTGCCATTTCCAAGCAGAAGCTTTAAAAACCATTGCTTAGTTCCAATATGGTCCCTTTTCTTCTTACATGAGACCAGCAGTAACCCAAATAGAAGCTACTCCATCAGCCTGGATTCTGACATGAAGGTGTAGATCAACACTACAACTGGCCCACAATAAGCATATAAATGGAAGCAAGAAATAAACCTTTGCTGTTGTAAACTCCTGGGATTTTTAAGTATTTACTATCACTGTACAATTTAGCCAAAACTGGCTAATCCTTTTACCAGAATCATTCCCATTGTTCAAGACCTATTTTAAGCTCCACTATCACCATAAAACTTTCCCGATCAGTTTTGCCCTAAATTAGCTTTTCCTCCTCTAAATTCCAAAATTTCAGCTGTACGATGTTTTTGGCAATTCTAGTCCATTCTGGTTTTGAATTATTATTCAAATGTGAATCATGCATAATTACTTAATGCTTGCTAACATCACAAAAACAGAAGAAGCCAGACATTATGTGTCTCTTAAGTGGCACATACAATAGTACTTTTGAAGTAGTCTTGCAGGGGGAAGGGCGAGGGGGCCTAAATCTAATCAAGCTTCTAGATATATCCAATAATTTACAGAAAATATAGAAGACAATACAATGTGTTGAACTACACCATGGGAAAGTATTTAGCAAAATGCAAAAAAAAAAAAAAACCTGCTTTCTTCAAACAAAAAAAAATTGCAGGGGGAAAAATAGACAGAATGAGGAAGCAGTATATGAAATAATCAAATTAAAAACTGAGGGCAGAGGTGTGGTAACACAGGTCTATAATCCTGGGGCTTTGGGAGGCTGAGGCAGGAGGATTTCTTGAGCCCAGGAGTTGAAGGCTGAAGTAAGCCACAATCATGCCACTGCACTCCAGCCTGGATGACCCAGTCAGACTCTTGTCTCTGCAGAATATAATAATAATTTTCATTTAAAAACTAACTGGGAGCTTTTAAAAAAATTGCAAATGGGAGGCAGGACTAGCTTGTGGCTCCACTCAGAGCAGCATATGGAGACTTGTAAACTTTTGCTCCAAGAATGACCACAGAAACATACCAGGAAAGCTCAGAGAATCTACAGACCCTTTGAAGGAAGCAGCTTGCTGCTGCAGACTCCATAAGACAGTTGAAAAGCTGTAAGTGCCCAAAGTGCAAAAGGGGAAACATCCACCCCCCTCCCAATACACATCCTCACTGGGGTACCTGAAGGTCCAGATCATGGGAGAAGGATTTAACCTTTCCTGGAGCTGAGACAAATATAAGAGATGAGCGAAATATAGGAATAGAGGAAGCAGAGGAAAGAGCCCCGTGGGCACTCTTGGTCCCCAGGGAAGCCATTGTTGACTTTGTCTCAGAGGGGTCCATGGGGAGAGATGCCACTAGAATTGGGGAAAGACTACAGGGAGAAGGAAACTTCCAGCTGAACTTTGTAACAATTTCAAGTAAACTCAAAGTTTCCTGGACAGAATCTGGGAAAGGGGTGACCCAGGAGAGAAGATACAGCACAGAAACTGGGGCAGGTGGGGAGGCACAAATCCTGAAAGCTGCTTGCTTTCTCAGTGGAGAGGCTTGGAGCCTGAGACAAGTTTTCAGCCCTGCTCACCGGCTGCCTGGAAATAAACTCAGTGCTATTGGGGTGCACAGTGAAAGTGAGACCAGCCTTTCAGGCTGCGTTGGAGCTGGATGAGGCCTGTCACTGCGGCCTTTCCCACTTCCCTGGCCACCTGTATGATGCAGAAGAGGCAGCCATAATCCCCCTGAGAACACAACTCCACTGGGCTGAGAACCACAACCCCATACCCCACAGGGGCTGAAGCAGGCCCTGCCCAAGAAGAGTCTGAGCTAAAACATGCCTAACCCTGCCCTCACCTGAAGGTCTCTCTCTACCTGCCCTGGTAGCCAAAGACAAAGAACATAGTCTCTTGGGAACTCTATGCCCCAAACCACAGCCTGAGACACCCAAATACTTATCCAAGCAACCCTAGGGCAAGCTTGTATTCTCCCTATACTACTGCAGCTGATGCTCTCTTGAAAGCACCACTTCCTGGCTGGAGGCCAACCAACAGAAAACGAGTATGCTAAATAAAAATACAACCAAGGACCCTCACAGAGTCCACTTCACTCCCCTGCTACCTGCACCAGAGCAGGTGCTGGTATCCACTGCTGAGAGTCCTGAAAATGGATCACATCACAGGAAATGGATCATATCACAGGACTCTTTGCAGACACTCCCCAGTACCAGCCCAGAGCCCAGTATCTCCACTAGGTGGCTAGACTGAGAAGAGCAGTAACAATCACTGCAGTCCAGCTCTCAGGAAGCCCTATCCCTAGGGGAAGAGGGAGAGCACCACATCAAAGGAGCACCCTATGGGACACAAGAATGTGAACAGCAGCCCTTAAGTCAAATATCTTCCCCCTGACATAATCTACCCAAATGAGAAGGAACCAGAAAAAACAGTTCTGGTAATATGACAAAACAAGATTCTTTAACACCCCCAAAAAAATCACATTAGCTTACCAGCAATGGATCAAAACCAAGAAAAAAAATCTCTGAATTGCCGGAAAAAGAATCAGGTCAATTATTAAGCTACTCAAGGAGGCACCAGAGAAAGGCAAATACCAACTTAATGAAATTTTTTAAATATTAAAGAATATGGATGGAAAAATCCCCAGAGAAATAGATAGCATAAATAAAAAGCAATCACTACTTCTGGAAATGAAAAACACACTTAGAGAAATGCAAAATACATTGGAAAATCTCAGCAATAGAATCAAACAAGTAGAAGAAAGAACTTCAGAGCTCGAAGATGCTTCTAAATTAATCAAATCCAACAATGACAAAGAAAAAGGAATAAAAAAAATGAACAAAGCCTCCAAGAAGTCTGGGATTATGGTAAATGAACAAGCCTAAGAATAATTGGTGTACTCAAGGAAGAAGAGAAATCTAAAAGTTTGGAAAATATACTTGAGAAAATAATTGAAGAAAACATCCTTAGCCTTGATAAAAATCTAGACATCCAAATACAAGAAGCACAAAGAACACCTGGGAAATTCATCACAAAAAGATCACTGCCTAGGCACATACTCATCAGGTAATCTAACATCAAGACGAAGGAAAGTATATTAACAGCTATGAGGCAAAAGCATCAGGGAAACTATAAAGGAAAACCAATCAGATTAATAGCAGATTTTTCAGCAAAAACACAAGCTAGAAGGTACTGAGGTCCTATCTTTAGCCTCCTTGGGAAAAAAGCAATTATCAGCCAAAAATTTTGTATCCAGTGAAACTAAACTTCGTAAATGAAGGAGATAGTCTTTTTATAATAAATGCTGAGAGGATTTGCCAAAATCAAATCAGCACTACAAAATCTCCTAAAAGGAGTTCTAAATCTTGAAACGAATCCTCAAAATATACCAAAATATAACCTCCTTAAAGCATAAATCTCACAGGACCTATAATACAATAATATAATGAAAAAAATGAGGTATTCGGGCAACAGACAGCATGATGAATAGAAAAGCACCTCACATCTCAATACTAACATTGAATATAAATGGCCTAAATGCTCCACTTAAAAGATACAGAATGGCAGAATGGGTAAGAATTCACCAACCAAGTATCTGCTGTCTTCAAGAGACTTGCCTAACACATAAGGACTCACAAAAACTCAAGGTAAAGGGATGGAAAAACATATTCCTTGCAAATGGACACCAAAAGTGAGCAGGAGTAGCTATTCTTATATCAGACAAAACAGACTTTAAAGCAACAGCAGTTAAAAAAGACAAAGAGGGACATTATATAACAATGAAAAGACTATTGTAATGGGAAAATATCACAATCTGAAATATATATGCACCTAACACTGGAGCTCCCATTTATAAACCAATTACTACTAGACCTAAGAAATGAGATAGACATGAACACAATAATAGTGGAAGACTTCAATACTCCACTGAGATTACTAGACAGGTCATCAAGACAGAAAGTCAACAAAGAAACAATGGACGTAAACTATACCCTAGAACAAATGGACTTAACAGATATTTACAGAACATTCTACCCAATAACTGCAGAATATACATTCTATTAATCAGCATATGGAACATTATCCAAGATAGACCATATGATAGGGCACAAAACAAGTCTCAGTAAATTTAAGAAAATCAAAATTATATCAAGTACTTTCTCAGACCACAGTAGAATAAAATTGTAAATTAACTCCAAAAGGAACCCTCAAAAACCATGAAAATACATGGAAATTAAATAATCTGCTCCTGAATGATCATTGGGTCAACAATGAAATCAAGATGGAAATGAAGTCTGAAAGAGCACAAATAGATAATCTAAGGTCACATCTCACAGAACTAGAGAAACAAGAACAATCCAAACCAAACCCAGCAGAAGAAAAGAAATAACCAAGATCAGAACAGAACTAAATGAAATTGAAACAAAAAAAAACAGATAAGTGAAACAAAAAGCAGATTCTTTGAAAATATAAATGAAATTGATTATTAGTGAGATTAACCAAGAAAAGAAGAGAGAAGATCCAAATAAGCTCAATTAGAAATGAAACAGGAGATATTACAACTGATACCACAGAAATACAAAAAATCATTCAAGACTACTATGAACACTTTTATGTGTACAAATTAGAAAACCTGGAGGAGATGGATAAATTCCTAGAAATATACAACCCTCCTAGATTAAACCAGAAAGATACAGAAACTCTGAACAGACAAGTAACAAGCAGAAAGATTGAAATGGTAATTTTAAAATTGCCAACAAAAATAAAGTCCAGGACAAAACAGATTCACAGCTGAATTGTATCAGACATTCAAAGAAGAATTGGTACCAATCCTATTAACACTTTTCCAAAAGACAGAGAAAGAGGTAACCCTCCCTAAATAATTCTATAAAGCCAGTATCACCCTAATACCAAAACCAGGAAAGGACATAACAAAGAAAACTACAGAACGACATCCCTGATGAACACAGATGCCAAAATCCTCAATAAAATACTAGCTAACTGATTTCAACAACATATCAAAAAGATAATCCACCATGATCAAGTGGGTTTCACACCAGGGATGCAGGGATGGTTTAACATATGCAAGTCAATAAAGGTGAAACACTGCATAAACAGAATTAAAAACAAAAATCACATGATTATCTCGATAGATGCAGAAAAAGCAGTTGACAAAATCCAGCATCGCTTTATGTTTAAAACCCTCAGCAAAATCGCCATGGAAGGGACACCCCTTAGGTAATAAAAGCCATCTAAACAAACCCACAGATAACATTATACTGAATGGGAAAAAGTTGAAAGCATTCTGCCTGAGAACTGGAACAAGACAAGGATGCCCACTTTCACCACTTCTATTCAACATAGTACTGGAAGTCCTAGCCAGGCCAATCTGACAAGAGAAAGAAAGAAAGGACGTCCAAATCAGTAAAGAGGAAGTCAAACTGTCTGGGTATATGATACGATCATATACCCAGAAAACCCTACAGACTCATCCAAAAAGCTCCTAGAACTGATAAATGAATTCAGCAAAGCTTCAGGATACAAAATTAATGTACACAAACAGTAGCTCTGCTATACACCAACAGCAAGCAGGCTGAAAATCCAATTAAGAATTCAACCCCTTTTACTACCACTGCAAAAAAAAAAAAAAAATACTCAGAATTATACCTAACCAAGGAGGTGGAGGTAAAAATCTCTACAGGGAAAACTACAAAACACTGCTGAAAGAAATCATAGACAACACAAATGAAATACATCCCGTGCTCATGGATGCATAGAATCAATACTGCAAAACTGACCATAGTGCCAAAAACTATCTACAAATTCAATGCAATTCATATCAAAATACCACCATCATTCTTCACAAAACTAGAAAAAACAATCCTAAAATTCACATGGAACCAAAAAGAGCCTACCTAGCCAAAGCAAGACTAAACAACAACAACAAAAATCTGGAGGTATCTTAGTACCCAACCTCAAACTATATCATAAGGCCAAAACAGCATGGTACTGATATAAAAATAGGTATACAGACCAGTGGAACAGAATAGGGAACCCAGAAATAAATCCATATACATATAGCCAACTAATCTTTGACAAAGCAAACAAAAACATAAAGTAGAGAGAGGACACCTATTCAACAAATAGTGCTGGGATAATTCGCAAGCCACATGTAGAAGAATGAAACTGGATCCTCATCTCTCACCCTATACAAAAACCAACTAAGATGGATCAAATACTTAAATCTAAGACCTAAAACCATAAAAATTCTAGAAGATAACATCAGAAAAACCCTTCTAGACATTGGCTTAGACAAAGACCTCATGACCAAGGATCCAAAAGCAAATGCAACAAAAACAAAGATAAAAATAGAAGGACTTAATGAAACTAAAAATCTTTGGCACAGCAAAAGAAATAATCAGCAGACTAAACAGACAACCCACAAAGTGAGAGAAAATATTTGTAATCTATACAGCTGGCAAAGGACTAATATCCAGAATCTACAAGGAACTAAAACAAATCAGCAAGAAAACAAACAACCCCATCAAAAAGTGGGCTAAGGACATGAACAGACAATTATCAAAAGAAGATATACATACCACCAATGAACATATGGAAAAATGTTCAGTGTCACTAATGAGCAAGGTAATGCAAATCGAAACCACAATGTG
Source organism: Homo sapiens (assembly GCF_000001405.40). Lineage (NCBI taxonomy): Eukaryota > Metazoa > Chordata > Mammalia > Primates > Hominidae > Homo > Homo sapiens. Next base: position 50,000,370 of record NC_000001.11, read on the forward strand.
ATACCACCTTACTCCTACAAGAATGGCCATAATCTAAAAATCAAAAAATAATAAGATGTTGGCGTGGATGTGGTGAAAAGGGAACACTTTTACACTGCTGGTGGGAATGTAAACTAGTACAACCACTGTGGAAAACAGTGTGGAGAGTCCTTAAAGAACTAAAAGTAAATCTACTATTTGATCCAGCAATCCCACTAGTGGGTATCTACTCAAAGGAAAAGAAGACATTATACAAAAAAGACACTTGTACAGGCACGTTTATAGCAACACAATTCACAATTGTTAAAATACGGAACCAGCCCAAATGTCCATCACTCAAGTACATAAAGAAAATATGGTATATATACACCATGGAATACTACTCAGCCATAAAAAGGAACTAAATAATGGCATTCACAGCAACCTGGACAAAATTATTCTAAGTGAAGTAACTCAGGAATGGAAAACCAAACATCGTGTGTTCTCATTCATAAGTAGGAACTAAGATATGAGGACACAAAGGCATAAGAATAATACAATGGACTTTCGGGACTCAGGGGGAAGGGTGGGAGGAGGGTAAGGGATAAAAAACTACACATTGGGTACAGAGTATGCTGCTTGGGTGATGGGTGCACCAAAGTCTCAGAGACCACGACTAAAAAAAATAAAAATAAAAAATTATTTAAAAAATTAAAAATTAAAAACATTTTAAAACTAGATATTTGATATTAAGGAATTATTATTGGTTATGATTTTATACACATGAAGTGATTATATATATGTCTGTATATGTGGTATGACCACATGTGTATATATATATATATGCACACTAAGTGTAAAATATTTATATATATAAAATATTTCAATATATCTCTCTAAAAGACATACTTTATGTATAACAAAAAAGGCAAATACACGTGATATATTTAGGAGTAAGTAGACTAAGTAAACCCAAATTAAGAGATAAAGCCTGATAGTAGAAGAGTGACTTTATGAAAGTAGAAGGAAAAAAAACACAATCTTACCTTACATCTCTGGTGAATTTTTTCAACTTAGGAAAAAAATAATTTGTGTGTGTGTGTGTGTGTGTGTGTCTGTATATGTGTGTGTGTCCGTATATGTGTGTGTCTATATATACATATATATGTATGTGTGTGTGTATATATATATATATATGAATGTATATATAAACATTCACAGGGATAGTCTAAAACGGGTTGCAAATTTTAGGAGCTACGCAAGTAAAACAAAATCAGTGAAGCAGACTAAAAATAAGAAATTAAGGAGAAAATAGGGAATGACGGGGACTGTCATACCAAACGGCCTTTGTCCCCTGCTAAAGGTGGCACCAGCTGCTCAGCTCCAGCCAACAGTGAATGTGCTGCAACACAGGCCCAGTTTTACCAAATCACATGGATTTTCCAAAGTCAGAAATTCATATTTTTACATGAAATCTTCCTATTTTGAAATAATTGACAATCAATCTAATCTAATTCTTTATTATCTTCATGAGCCCAACAAAATATATCTGATAGCTTGATCCATCCTACGTGCTGCCAGTTTGCAACCACTGGTCTAAGAGAAACTTAATATAGCATGGCATGGTGGAAATGAAAGGAGATGTATTTTAGCTTTTTCCTGATAACAAAAATTTATTTTGTTAATAGCCACTGAGATGAAAAAAGAAGGACTTCACCAGATTCACTGCTACCTTCAGTGTACTTTTTGTACACTGTAAATAAGTTCTTGAAAGTAAGTTCTTTGTGGGCAGTTTATTTACTACTCTCTCTCATTCCTAGGCATGGCTCCATTAAACAAGACTCTGCTAAATTAATGTGAAAGAGTACTCATAAGCTTCAGTTTGAGTAGGTGAGTCAAATACACCAAAGGTAATCGGCTTTATCTTTAACTTATATAGCCAGTTTGGGAAAAGATACAATACCCCAGTGTTAGCTGAGAAATTGTACTGGTTTACTCCGATTTATTTGAGCCCTTAAATCTGCCCTAGTTCTTTTTTTTTTTTTTTTTTTTTTTTTTTTGAGACGGAGTCTCGCTCTGTCGCCCAGGCTGGAGTGCAGTGGCGCGATCTCGGCTCACTGCAAGCTCCGCCTCCCGGGTTCACGCCATTCACCTGCCTCAGCCTCCCGAGTAGCTGGGACTACAGGCGCCCGCCACCACGCCCGGCTAATTTTTTGTATTTTTAGTAGAGACGGGGTTTCACCGTGTTAGCCAGGATGGTCTCGATCTCCTGACCTCGTGATCCGCCCGCCTCGGCCTCCCAAAGTGCTGGGATTACAGGCGTGAGCCACCGCGCCCGGCCAGCCCTAGTTCTTATACATGGCCATAGAGAACTTCAACAGAGGAATTAACTGTGGAGGACTGGTGTGTAAGAGACAGAAAAGACTACCAGAGGCCTTTCACCTTAATGCTACTATCTTTTTTATTACTAGGATATGCATTACAGGATGCTAAGAGCCTCAAATTTCCTATGTTCCTACTCTCTGTATGGATGCCAAGTTTAAATTTTAAAATCTTATTATAATTCAAAAATCACAAAAAAGTAAAGTAAAAATAACAGAAGTTAAATTAACAAAATAAAAGTTAATAGAAGTTAATCAAAGTTAAAACAACAAAAAAGTAAAGTCCAAGGCCAAAGGAAGCTAACGTGGAGGAAAATGAGAGCTTCTACTCACCAAGTCCAATGAGACATTCACCCACCCCATATTAACTCATGTCTGATATAAATTTGCTTATAATCTTATGAGGAAAAATACACAAAATTAAGAATCATATACAAAAATAACTGGAATACAAGAATGTGATAAATATGACTCAAATAAAGCTATATAAAAGTTAACATGAAATAAGTATGTTTCATTATTAAATTCCCCATAACAAGTTTTGCTTTTTGAAAATGAGTAAATGAAACTTGCAAGGCAAAGAGACAGATAGTTTCGGAATTAAGAAATGTGGTTATTACCCAGTGCATTCAAAGATTGCTTTACTATTCTCATCAGAAGGAGTTTCCTTAGATTCAGAAAACAAATATTAATAGAAAGTGGATTTTAAGCCTTGACTTACTATTTTTAATACTGCAATATTCAAAAGACAAACTTGATTTTTAGGAATTTCATATACAGAAGTATTTTTAAAATTATATTTCCTAGACTATTTCTTCTTTTCAGCACTAAATATTCATAGTACTTAAGGTAGCTGGCAATGATAAACAGCATATGAATTTTAGAACTGAAATCCCCAGGGACCAGAGAATTCTATTGGCCTGCCAGAGAGACAATAGCCAAGTAATAAAAAGAGAAAGAGAGAACAATAAAGGTCAGAAGGAAGGAAGAAAGGGGCCAAAGATCTAGGGCTTATTCAGTAGGCCAGTGTCTTTTATTTAACTGGAGCAAGGAAAGGGTAGGTAAAGCTCATAGCAGAAAAATTCAGGAACACTACAGCGAAAAGTTTAAGGATTTTACCTAATTTCTACATTCTTTGAAAAAGAAAGTTCTTGGGTGGAGCCAGACAGCTAAATAGAAGCCTCCATCAATCATCCTTCCCACAGGAACACCAAATGAACAACTATCCACACAAAAAAGCACCTTAATAAGAATCAAAAATCAAGTGAGTGGTCACTGTACCTGGTTTTAATTTCCTATCTGTCACTGAAAGAGGCACTCAAGAGAAGAGGAAAAATAGTCTTAAATTGCCTAAGCCACTGCTCCCCCATCCTCTGGCAGAAGCCACATGGCACAGAAAAAGAATCTTTGCGCACTTGAGGGAGAAAGAAATGCAGTGATTGTGGGACTTTTCATTGGAACTCAGTGCTACCCTGTCACAGCAGAAAGCAACACTGAGCAGAAATCAACCAGTGCCCCCAGAAGGAACATTTACACCAGCCTTAGCCAGAGGGTAATTACCCATCCCAGTGGTTAGAACCTGAGTTCCAGCAAGCCTCACCACCATGGACAAAAGGGCTCTGGTGTACTAAATAAACCTGAAAGGCAGTCTAGGCCACTAGGACTGTAATTCCTGGGCAAGTCCTGGTGCTATGTTGGGCTTGGAGACACTGTGAGAAACCAGCCAGGATAGCCAAGGGAATGCTTGTGCATCCCTCCCCCAACCCCAGGCAGTGCAGCTTACAGCAACAAAAGTGACACCTTCCTTCCTCCAGAGGAGAGGAGAAGGAAGGCTCAAGAGGAACTTTCTCTTGCAACTTGGATACCAGCTCAGCCACAGTAGGACAGGGCCCCAGACAGAGTCCTGAGACCTCATTCCAGACCACAGCTCCCAAATGACATTTCTAGATGTACCCTGGGCAAGAAGGGAACCTGCAGCCCTGAAAGGAAGGGAAGAGTCTTAGCAGGATGCATCATTTGCTGATTAATGAGCCCTTGGACCCTGAATAATCAGCAACTGTATCCAGGCAGTGGGCCTTAGGTGAGAATCAGAATATGCTGGCTTCAGGTGTCACCCAGCACACTCCCAGCTGTGGTGGCTACAGGGAGGGACTCCTTCTACTTGAGAAAAGGAGAGGGAAGAACAAGGGGGACTTGTCTTACACCTAAATACCAACTCAGCCACAGTGGGGTACAGTACCAAATGGACTCTTGGAATATGCAATTCCAGGAATGTAGAGCACAAGCAGATTCCTAAGGTTTCCAGGACCTAGCTCGCTGATGGCATCTCCAGACCTGCCGGGGAATGGGAGGAACTCACAGCCCTGAAGGGAAGAACACAAGCCTTACTGACTTAGCCACCTGCTGATTGTAGAGCCTTAGGGACTTGAGCAAACATAGGCAGTAGCCAGGTAGTGGTTATCGCAGGCCTTTGGTGAGACCCAGGGATATGATGGCTTCAGGTCTGATCCAGCACAGTCCCAGTGCTGGTGGCCACAGGAGTTCTTCTGCCACCCCTCCCTCAGCTCCAGGCATCCCAATACAGAGAGAGAAACTCTGTTTGCAACAAAGTCAGGTAAGAGAGTAAGAGTTCTGCCTGGTAATCCAGAAAATTCTTCCAGATTTTATCCAAAACAACCAAGATGGTACCTATTAGAGTCTGGAAGAGCCACAGCATTACTGGGTTTCAGGTGCCCCCAAATGCACATATAGTTGCAGTAGCCAAAATCTTAGATCACAATACCTAAGTCCCTTCAAATACCTGGAAAACCTTTCAAAGAAGGACAAGAATAAACAAGCTCAGACTGCAAAGACTACAATAAATACCTAACTCTTCAATGCCCATACACCAACAAACATCTACAAGCATCAAGACAATTCAGGAAGACATGACCTCAAACAATGAACTAAATAAGTCACCAGTGACCAATTCTGGAGTCACAGAGATATGTGACCTTTCAGAGAATTCAAAATAGCTGTTTTGAAGAAAGTCAGTAAAATTCAAAATAACACAGAGAAGGAATTCAGAATCCTATCAGATAAATTTAACAAACAGATTAAAATAATTAAAAAGTATCAAGCAGAAAATCTGTAGTTGAAAAATGAAATTGATATACTGAAGAATGCATCAGAGTCTCTTAATAGCAGAATCAATCACACAGAAGAAAGAATTAGTGAGCTTAAAGGCAGGCTATTTGAAAACACATAGTAAGAGGAGACAAAATAAAAAAGAATTAAACATGTCTACAAGATCTAGAATATAGCCTCAAAGGGCATATCCAAGAGTTATTAGCCTTAAAAAAGAGGCAGAGGCCAGGTGCGGTGGCTCACGCCTGTAATCTCAGCACTTTGGGAGGCCGAGGTAGGCAGATCACGAGGTCAGGAGATCGAGACCATCCTGGCTAACACGGTGAAACCCCATCTCTACTAAAACTACAAAAAATTAGCCAGGCGTGGTGGCGGGTGCCTGTAGTCCCAGCCACTTGGGAGGCTGAGGCAGGAGAATGGCATGAACCCAGGAAGTGGAGCTTGCAGTGAGCCAAGATTGCGCCACTGCACTCCAGCCTGGGCGACAGAGCAAGACTCCGCCTCAAAAAAAAAAAAAAAGGAGGTAGAGAGAGAGAGGAGTAGACAGTTTATCAAAGGGATAATAAAAGAGGATTTCCCAAACTCAGAGAAAGATATCAATATTCAAGTACAAGAAGGTTATAGAAAACCAAGCAGATTTAATCCAAAGAAGATTGTCTCAAAGCATTTAATAATCAAACTCCCAAAGGTCAAGGATAAAGAAAGGTTCCTAAAAGCAGCAAGAGAAAAGAAACAAATAACATACAATGGAGCTCCAATACACCTGGCAGCAGACTTTTCAATGGAAACCTTACAGGCCAGGAGAGACAAGCATGACATATTTAAAGTGTAGAAGGGAAAAAAAAAAACAAAAGAACAAAAAAACTTTACCCTAGAATAGAGTATCCAGCTAAAATATCCTTAAAACATGAAGGAGAAATACTTTCCCAGACAAACAAAAGCTGAGGGATTTCATCAACACTGGACTTGTCCTACAAAAAATGCCAAAGGGAGTTCTTCAGTTTAAAAGAAAAGGACATGAATGAGCAGGAAGAAATCATTGGAACATACAAAACTCACTGGTAATAGTAACTACACAAAAGACATAGAATATTTTAACACTGTAATTGTGGTACACAAACTACTCCTATCTTGAGTATAAAGACTAAATGATGAAGCAATCAGAAATAATAACCACAACAACTTTTCAAGACAAAGACAGTATAAGATATAAATAGAAACAAAAAAAATTTTAAAGGGGTGAGACTTAAAATGTAGAGTTTTTATTAGTTTTTCTCTTTGCTTGTTTGTTTATGCAATCAGTGTTAAGTTGTCATTAGTTTAAAATAATGGGTTATAAGAATTTAATTGCAAGCCCCATGGTAACCTCAAATCAGAAACTATATGACGTACACAAAAAATAAAAAATCAGAAATTAAAATATACCTCACCACAGAAAATAATCTTCACAAAAAGGAAGACAAGGAAGGAAAGAAAGAAGACCACAAAACAATCAAAAAACAAGTAACAAAATGGCAGAAGTCCTTATCTATCAATAACAACATTGAATATAAATGGACTAAACTCTCCAATCAAAAGACATACAGTGGCTACATGGATAAGAAAACAAGACCTAAGAATCTGTTGTGTATAAGAAACACACTTCTGGCTAGGCACGGTGGCTCACATCCATAATCCTAGCACTTTGGGAGGTCGAGGAGGGAGGATTGGTTGAGCCCAGGAGTTCAAGACCAGCCTGGGCAACAAAGTGAGATTCTGTCCCTACAAAAACAAAACAAAATGAAAAGCTGGGTGTGGAAGCACATGCCTGTAATCCCAGATACTCAGGAGGCTGAGGCAAGATGATTGCTTGAACCCAGGATGTCAAGACTGAGTGAGACATGATCATGCCACTGCACTCCAGCCTAGGTGACAGAGTGAGACCCTGTCCAAATAAAAGGGAAAAAGAAACACACTTCACCTATAAAGACACACATGAACTGAAAATAAACGGATGAAAAAAGATATTCCATGCAAATAGAAACCCAAAAACAGCAGAAGTTGGTATATTTGTATCACACAAAAGAAATTCCAAGAAAAAAACAATGAAAAGAGACAAGGTCATGATCTAATGATAAAGGGGCCAATTCAGCAAGAGGATAAAACAATTAGAAATATATGTACCCCACACTGGAGCACCCAGATATATAAAGAAAATATTATTAGAGTTGAAGAGATAGATAGACCCCAATACAATAATAGCTACAGACTTCATTCAACACCCTGCTTTTAGCACTGGACAGACAATCCATACAGAACATCAACAGATGCAATCTGCACTGTAGACCAAATGAACCTAACAGATATTTACAGAACATTTCAACCAATGGCTGCAGAATCCACATTTTTCTCCTTAGCATATGCCTCATTCTCAAGGATAGACCATATATTAGGACACAAAACAAGTCTTTAAAATTTTTAAAAAATAAAATTATATCAAGTATCTTCTCTGAACACAGGGAATAAAACTAGAAGTCAAGAACAAGAGGAATTTTGGAATCTATAGA